>NC_000004.12:84981987-85133502 GCF_000001405.40 Homo sapiens
AGATGTGTGGTATTATTTCTGAGGGCTCTGTTCTATTCCATTGGTCTATATCTCTGTTTTGGTACCAGTACTATGCTGTTTTGGTTACTATAGCCTTGTAGTATAGTTTGAAGTAAGGTAGCGTGGTACCTCCACCTTTATTCTTTTGGCTTAGGATTGACTTGGCATTGCAGGCTCTTTTTTGGTTCCATATGAACTTTAAAGTAGTTTTTTCCAATTCTGTGAAGAAAGTCATTGGTAGCTTGATGGGGATGGCATTGAATCTATAAATTACCTTGGGCAGTATGGCCATTTTCACGATATTGATTCTTCCTATCCATGAGCATGGAATGTTCTTCCATTTGTTTGTGTCCTTTTTTATTTCATTGAGCAGTGATTTGTAGTTCTCCTTGAAGAGGTCGTTCACATCCCTTGTAAGTTGGATTCCTAGGTATTTTATTGTCTTAGAAGCAATTGTGAATGGGAGCTCACTCATGATTTGGCTCTCTGTTTGTCTGCTATTGGTGTATAAGAATGCTTGTGATTTTTGCACAGTGATTTTGTATCGTGAGACTTTGCTGAAGTTGCTTATCAGCTTCAGGAGATTTTGGGCTGAGACGATGGGATTTTCTAAATATACAATCATGTCATCTGCAAACAGGGACAATTTGACTTCCTCTTTTCCTAACTGAATACCCTTTATTTCTTTCTCCTGCCTGATTGCCCTGGCCAGAACTTCCAACACTGTGTTGAATAGGAGTGGTGAGAGAGGGCATCCCTGTCTTGTGCCAGTTTTCAAAGGGAATGCTTCCAGTTTTTGCCCATTCAGTATGATATTGGCTGTGGGTTTGTCATAGATAGCTCTTATTATTTTTAGATACGTCCCATCAATACTTAATTTATTGAGAGTTTTTAGCATGAAGCATTGTTGAATTTTGTCAAAGGCCTTTTCTGCATCTACTGAGGTAATCATGTGGTTTTTGTCATTGGTTCTGTTTATATGCTGGATTATGTTTACTGATTTGCGTATGTTGAACCAGTCTTTCATCCCAGGGACGAAGCCCACTTGATCATGGTGGATAAGCTTTTTGATGTGGTGCTGGATTCGATTTGCCAGTATTTTATTGAGGATTTTTGTATCAATGTTCGTTAGGGATATTGGTCTAACATTCTCTTTTTTTGTTGTGTCACTGTCAGGCTTTGCTATCAGGATGATGCTGGCCTCATAAATGAGTTTGGAGGATTCCCTCTTTTTCTATTGATTGGAATAGTTTCAGAAGGAATGGTACCAGCTCCTCCTTGTACCTCTGGTAGAATTTGGCTGTGAATCTGTCTTGTCCTGGAGTTTTTTTGGTTGGTAGGCTATTAATTATTGCCTCACTTTCAGAGTCTGTTATTGATCTGTTCAGAGATTCAACTTCTTCCTGGTTTAGTCTTGGGAGGGTGTATGTGTCGAGGAATTTATCCATTTCTTCTAGATTTTCTAGTTTATTTGCGTAGAGGTGTTTATAGTATTCTCTGATGGTAGCTTGTATTTCTGTGGGATTGGTGGTGATATCCTCTTTATCATTTTTTATTGTGTCTATTTGATTCTTCTCTCTTTTCTTCTTCTTAGTCTTGCTAGCAGTCTATCAATTTTGTCGATCTTTTCAAAAAGCCAGCTCCTGGATTCATTGATTGTTTGAAGGGTTTTTTGTGTCTCTATCTCCTTCAGTTCTGCTCTGATCTTAGTTATTTCTTGCCTTCTGCTAGCTTTTGAATGTGTTGTTTGCTCTTGCTTCTCTAGTTCTTTTAATTGTGATGTTAGGGTGTCAATTTTAGATCTTTCCTGCTTCTCTTGTGGGCATTTAGTGCTATAAATTTCCCTCTACACACTGCTTTGAATGTGTCCCAGAGACTCTGGTATGTTGTGTCTTTGTTCTTGTTGGTTTCAAAGAACATCTTTATTTCTGCCTTCATTTCATTATGTACCCAGTAGTCATTCAGGAGCAGGTTGTTCAGTTTCCATGTAGTTGAGTGGTTTTGAGTGAGTTTCTTAATCCTGAGTTCTAGTTTGATTGCACTGTGGTCTGATAGACCGTTTGTTATAATTTCTGTTCTTTTACATTTGCTGAGGAGTGCTTTACTTCCAAGTATGTGGTCATCAATCCCATTTTATATGATTCTATTTGCATAATTAAATATAGAGAAGTGAAATTATGGTAAACAAAGTTTAGTGATGGTTGTTTTTGGGCTAAAAGGCTAGGAATAGATCTTGCAATCCCCTCTGAATTTTGGGAATTGTTTAGATTGTTTAATGATAAATGTAGATCACTTTCAGAAAACTAATTTTTCTTACATACAAATCTTAAATTAATTACAGTCACACCTCATTTCATTGCACTTAGCTTTATTTCACTTTGCAGATATTGCGATGTTTACAAATTGAATGTTTGTGGCAATTCTGAGTGTAAAATTCTATTGGCACCATATTCCCAACAGCATTTTCTTACTTCATGTCCCTGTGTCACATTTTGGTAATTCTCAAAATATTTCAAATTTATTATTATTATTATAGTTGCTTTGGTGATTTGTGATCAGTAATCTTTAATGTTACCATTGTAATTGGCGGTGTCAGGAACTGTGTCCAGAGATGATAGTGAATTTAATCAATAAATGTGTGTGTAGTTTCTGACTGTCCACCAGTTGGCTGCTCCCCCCATCTATTCCTTTCTTACTGGGCCTTTCTATACCCTGATACACAACAATATTGAGATTAGGCCAATTAGAAACCCTACAATGGCTTCTAAGTGCTCAAGAGAAAAGAAGAGTCACACATTTCTCACTTTAAATCCAGAGCTAGAAATGATTAAGTTTAGTGAGGAAGCCATGTTGAAAGTCAAGATAGACCCAACGATAGGCTTCTTGTGCCAAAAGGTTAGCCCAATTGTGAATGAAAAGAAAAAGTTTTTGAAGAAAACTAACAGTGGTTATCCAGTGGACACATGAATGATGAGAAAGTGATAATGCAGACAGTTTGCTGATAATGCAGACCGTTTTAGTAGTCTGCATAGAAAATCAAACCAGCTACAACAACCTTAAGCCAATGCCTAGTCCAGATCAAGGCTCTAACTCTCTTCAATTCTATGAAGGTTGAGAGAGGGGAGGAAGCTGCAGAAGGAAAGCTGGAAGCTAGCAGAGGTTGGTTCATGGGGTTGAAGGAAAGAAGCCATCTTCATAACATAAAAGTGCCAGGTGAAGCAGCAAGTGCTGATGTAGAAGCTACAGCAAGTTATCCAGAAGATCTAGCTGACATCATTGATGCAGGTGACTACATAAACAACAAATTTTCAGTGTAGACGAAACAGCCATCTATTGGAAGAAGTTGTCATCTAAGACTTTCGCAGCTAGAGAAGAGAAGTCAATGGCTAGCTTCAAAGTTTCCAAGGACAGACTGACTCTCTTGTTATGGGCTAATGTAGCTGGTGACATTAAGTGTAAGTCAATGTTCATTTACCATTCCGAAAATTCTAGGGCCCTTTATAACTGTGCTAAATCTATTCTGCCTGTGCTCTATCAATGGAACAATAAAGTCTGGATGATAGCATGTCTGTTTACAACATAGGTTACTGAATATTTTAAGCCCACTCTTGAGAACTACTGCTCAGGAAAAAGGATTTTCAGAATATTATTGCTCATTGACAATGCACCTGTCACCCAAGAGCTCTGATGGAGAAGTACAGGGGATTAACATTGTTTTCATGCCTGCTAACACATCATTCTGTAGTCCATGGATCAAGGAGTCATTTTGACTTTCAAGTCTTATTATATAAGAGATACTGTTTGTAAGGCTATAGCTGTTACAGACACTGATTCCTCTGATGGATCTGGGCAAAGTAAATTGATAACCTTCTGGAAATAAATCACCATTCCAGATACCATTAAGAACATTCATTATTCATTGGGTGGTGGTCAAAATATCAACATTAACAAGAGTTTGAAAGAAGTTGATTCCAACCCTCATGGGCGACTTTGCGGGGTTCAAGATTTCAGTCAAGGAAATAACTGCAGATGTGGTGGAAATACCAAGAGAGAATTCAAGATGTGACTGAACTGCTGCAACCTAATGATAAAACTTATTTTTTTTTTTTTTGAGACAGGGTCTTGCTTTGTCATCCAGGCTGGAATGCTGTGGCACAAACATGACTCACTGCAGACTCATCAACCTCCCCAGCTCAAGTGATCCTCCCACCTCAGCCCCACAAGTAGCTGGGACTACATGCACATGCCATCATGCCCATCTAGTCTTTGTATTTTTTGTAGAGACAGGGTTTTGTCATGTTGTCCAGGCTGATCTTGAACTCCTGAGCTCAAGTGGTCCATATACCTTGGCTTCCCAAAGTGCTGGGATTATAGGCCATTGCTCCCGGCCTCATGATAAAACTTTAAGTAATTGCTTCTTATGGATGAGCAAAGAAATTGGAATCTTGATGCAGAATGTACTTCTGGTGAAGATGCCATGAATGTTGTTGAAATGACAACAGAAGGTCTAGAATAGTCCATAAACTTAGCTGAGAAAGCAGCAGCAGGAGTTGAGAGGATTGACTTCAGTTTTGAAAGAAGTTTTACTGTGGATAAAATGCTATCAAATAACCTCACATGCTTCAGATAAATCTTTTGTGAAAGAAAGATTCAATAGATGCATAAACTTCATTTTTTTTAATTTTAAGAAATTGCTTTAGCCACCCCAACCTTCAGCAATCACTACCCTGATCAATCAGCAGCCATCAACATCAAGGCTAAACCCTCCATTGGCAAAAAGATTATGATCGCTGAAGGCTCAGATGATTATTAGAGTTTTTAATTTAATTTTTTATTAGCAATAAAATATTTTTAAATTTAAGGAATGTACATTTTTTTAAAGACATAGTGCTATTTCATACTTAGTACTCTACAGTAATGTAAACACAACTTTTCAATGTACTGGAAAACAAAACAAACAAAGTCTCATTTTATTGTGATATTTGCTTTATTGTGGTGGTCTTGAAAAAAACCCATAATATTTTTGCGATATTATGCCTATATGAATAGAATTAAAAGCAAAATATATATACTTAATGTATTATAAAAAAGAAAAAAGATAAAACAAATTATTGAATAAATATATCTACATGCAAAATTTATCTGTTAATATATGCTGTTTACAAATAAATCTACATAAAATGAAATGATGTAATAAGTCTATAGAATATGGAAAAATAGGGGGTGGAGCCAAGATGGCCGAATAGGAACAGCTCCAGTCTACAGCTCCCAGCGGGAGCGACGCAGAAGACGAATGATTTCTGCATTTCCAACTGAGGTACCGGGTTCATCTCACTGGGGATTGTCAGACAATGGGTGCAGCACACCAAGCGTGAGCCGAAGCAGGGCGAGGCATCGCCACACTCTGGAAGTGCAAGGGGTCAGGGAATTCCCTTTCCTAGCCAAGGAAAGGAGTGACAGACGGCACCTGGAAAATCGTGTCACTCCCACCCTAATACTGCGCTTTTCCAATGGTCTTAGCAAATGGCACACCAGGAGATTATATCCCATGCATGGCTCAGAGGGTCCTATGCCCACAGAGCCTCGCTCATTGCTAGCAAAGCAGTCTGAGATCAAACTGCAAGGTGGCAGCAAGGCTGGGGGAGGGGCACCGGCCATTGCCAAGGCTTGAGTAGGTAAACAAAGTGGCTGGGAAGCTCGAACTGAGTGGAACCCACCGCAGCTCAAGGAGGCCTGCCTGCCTTAGTAGACTCCACCTCAGGGGGCAGGGCATAGCCAAACAAAAGGCAGCAGAAACCTCTGCAGACTTAAATGTCCCTGTCTGACAGATTTGAAGAGAGGAGTGGTTGTCCCTGTCTGACAGATTTGAAGAGAGGAGTGGTTCTCCCAGAATGCAGCTGGAGATCTGAGAATGGACAGACTGCCTCCTCAAGTGGGTCCCTGACCCCTGAGTAGCCTAACTGAGAGGCATTCCCCAGTAGGGGCAGACTGACACCTCACATGGCCGGGAAATCCTCTGAGACAAAACTTCCAGAGGAACGATTAGGCAGCAACATTTGCTGTTCACCAATATCTGCTGTTCTGCAGTCTCTGCTGCTGATACCCAGGCAAACAGGGTCTGGAGTGGACCTCCAGCAGACTCCAACAGACCTGCAGCTGAAGGTCCTGACTGTTAGAAGGAAAACTAACAAACAGAAAGGACATCCACACCAAAACCCCATCTGTACATCACCATCATCAAAGACCAAAGGCAGATAAAACCACAAAGATGGGGAAAAAACAGAGCAGAAAAACTGAAAATTCTAAAAATCAGAGCGCCTCTCCTCCTCCAAAGGAATGCAGCTCCATCACCAGCAACGGAACAAAGCTGGATGGAGAATGACTTTGACGAGTTGAGAGAAATAGGCTTCAGATGATCAGACTACTCCGAGCTAAAGGAGGAAGTTTGAACCCATGGCAAAGAAGTTAAAAACCTTGATAAAAGATTAGATGAATGACTAACTAGAATAACCAATGCAGAGAAGTCCTTAAAGGACCTGATGGAGCTGAAAACCATGGCACGAGAACTATGTGATGAATGCACAAGCCTCAGTAGCAGACTCAATCAACTGGAAGGAAAGGTATCAGTGATGGAAGATCAAATGAATGAAATGAAGTGAGAAGAGGAGTTTAGAGAAAAAAGAATAAAAAGAAATGAACAAAGCCTCCAAGAAATATGGGACTATGTGAAAAGACCAAATCTACATCTGATTGGTGTACTTGAAAGTGATGGGGAGAATGGAACTAAGTTGGAAAACACTCTGCAGGATATTATCCAGGAGAACTTCCCCAATCTAGCAAGGCAGGCCAACATTCAAATTCAGGATATATAGACAATGCCACAAAGATACTCCTCGAGAAGAGCAACTCCAAGACACATAATTTTCAGATTCATGAAAGTTGAAATGAAGGAAAAATGTTAAGGGCAGCCAGAGAGAAAGGTCGGGTTACCCACAAAGGGAAGCCCATCAGCCTAACAGCTGATCTCTTGGCAGAAACTCTACAAGCCAGAAGAGAGTGCAGGCCAATATTCAACATTCTTAAAGAAAGGAATTTTCAACCCAGAATTTCATATCCACCCAAACTAAGTTTCATAAATGAAGGAGAAATAAAATCCTTTACAGACAAGCAAATACTGAGAGATTTTTGTCACCACCAGGCCTGCCCTAAAAGAGCTCCTGAAGGAAGCACTAAACATGGAGAGGAACGACCAGTACCAGCGACTGCAAAAACATGCCAAATTGTAAAGACCATCGAGGCTAGGAAGAAACTGCATCAACTAATGAACAAAATAGCCAGCTAACATCATAATGACAGGATCAAATTCACACACAACAACATTAACCTTAAATGTAAATGGGCTAAATGCTCCAATTAAAAGACACACACTGGCAAATTGGATAAAGAGTCAAGACCCATCAGTGTGTTGTATTCAGGAAACCCATCTCACGTGCAGAGACACACATAGGCTCAAAATAAAGGGATGGAGGAAGATCTACCAAGCAAATGGAAAACAAAAAAGGCAGGGGTTGCAATCCTAGTCTCTGATAAAACAGACTTTAAACCAACAAAGATCAAAAGAGACAAAGAAGGCCATTACATAATGGTAAAGGGATCATTTCAATGAGAAGAGCTAACTATCCTAAATATATGTGCACCCAATACAGGAGCACCCGGATTCATAAAGCAAGTCCTTAGAGACCTGCAAAGAGACTTAGACTCCCACACAAAAATAATGGGAGACTTTAACACCCCACTGTCAACATTAGACAGATCAAGGAGACATAAAGTCAACAAGGATATCCAGGAATTGAACTCAGCTCTGCACCAAGCAGACCTAATAGACATCTACAGAACTCTCCACCCCAAATCAACAGAATATACATTCTGTTCAGCACTACACCACACCTATTCCAAAATTGACCACATAGTTGGAAGTAAAGCACTCCTCAGCAAATGTAAAAGAACAGAAATTATAACAAACTGTCTCTCAGACCACAGAGCAATCAAACTAGAACTCAGGATTAAGAAACTCACTCAAAACCGCTCAACTACATGGAAACTGAACAACCTGCTCCTGAATGACTACTGGGTACATAATGAAATGAAGGCAGAAGTAAAGATGTTCTTTGAAACCAACGAGAACAAAGACACAACATACCAGAGTCTCTGGGACACATTCAAAGCAGTGTGTAGAGGGAAATTTATAGCACTAAATGCCCACAAGAGAAAGCAGGAAAGATCTAAAATTGACACCCTAACATCACAATTAAAAGAACTAGAGAAGCAAGAGCAAACACATTCAAAAGCTAGCAGAAGGCAAGAAATAACTAAGATCAGAGCAGAACTGAAGGAATTAGAGACACGAAAAACCCTTCAAACAATCAATGAATCCAGGAGCTGCTTTTTTTAAAAGATCAACAAAATTGATAGACCGCTAGCAAGACTAAGAAGAAAAGAGAGAAGAATCAAATAGATGCAATAAAAAATGATAAAGGGGATATCACCACCTGTCCCACAGAAATAGAAACTACCATCAGAGAATACTATAAAGAAATACAAACTACCATCAGAGAATACTACAAACACCTCTATGCAAATAAACTAGAAAATCTAGAAGAAATGGATAAATTCCTCGACACATACACCCTCCCAAGACTAAACCAGGAAGAAGTTGAATCTCTGAATAGACCAATAACAGGATCTGAAATTGAGGCAATAATTAATAGCTTACCAAACAAAAAAGTCCAGGACCAGATGGATTCACAGCCGAATTCTACCAGAGGTACAAGTAGGAGCTGGTACCATTCCTTCTGAAACTATTCCAATCAATAGAAAAAGAGGGAATCCTCCCTAACTCATTTTATGAGGCCAGCATCATCCTGATACCAAAGCCGGGCAGAGACACAACAAAAAAAGAGAATTTTAGACCAATATCCCTGATGAACATTGATGCAAAAATCCTCAATAAAATACTGGCAAACCGAATCCAGCACCACATCAAAAAGCTTATCCACCATGATCAAGTGGGCTTCGTCCCTGGGATGAAAGACTGGTTCAACATACGCAAATCAGTAAACATAATCCAGCATATAAACAGAACCAATGACAAAAACCACATGATTACCTCAGTAGATGCAGAAAAGGCCTTTGACAAAATTCAACAATGCTTCATGCTAAAAACTCTCAATAAATTAAGTATTGATGGGACGTATCTAAAAATAATAAGAGCTATCTATGACAAACCCACAGCCAATATCATACTGAATGGGCAAAAACTGGAAGCATTCCCTTTGAAAACTGGCACAAGACAGGGATGCCCTCTCTCACCACTCCTATTCAACATAGTGTTGGAAGTTCTGGCCAGGGCAATCAGGCAGGAGAAAGAAATAAAGGGTATTCAGTTAGGAAAAGAGGAAGTCAAATTGTCCCTGTTTGCAGATGACATGATTGTATATCTAGATAACCCCATTGTCTCAGCCCAAAATCTCCTGAAGCTGATAAGCAACTTCAGCAAAGTCTCACAATACAAAATCACTGTGCAAAAATCACAAGCATTCTTATACACCAATAGCAGACAAACAGAGAGCCAAATCATGAGTGAGCTCCCATTCACAATTGCTTCTAAGACAATAAAATACCTAGGAATCCAACTTACAAGGGATGTGAAGGACCTCTTCAAGGAGAACTACAAACCACTGCTCAATGAAATAAAAGAGGATACAAACAAATGGAAGAACATTCCATGCTCATGGGCGGGAAGAATCAATATCATGAAAATGGCCATTCTACCCAAGGTAATTTATAGTTTCAATGCCATCCCCATCAAGCTACCAATGACTTTCTTCACAGAATTGGAAAAAACTACTTTAAAGTTCATATGGAACCAAAAAAGAGCCCGCATTGCCAAGTCAATCCTAAGCCAAAAGAACAAAGGTGGAGGCATCACGCTACCTGACTTCAAACTATACTACAAGGCTATAGTAACCAAAACAGCATGGTACTGGCACCAAAACAGAGATATAGACCAATGGAACAGAACAGAGCCCTCAGAAATAATGCCACATATCTACAACTATCTGATCTTTGACAAACCTGACAAAAGCAAAAAATGGGGAAACGATTCCCTTTTAATAAATGGTGCTGGGAAAACTGGCTAGCCATATGTAGAAAGCTGAAACTGGATCCCTTCCTTACACCTTAAACAAAAATTAATTCAAGATAGATTAAAGACTTACATGTTAGACCTAAAACCATAAAAACCCTAGAAGAAAACCTAGGCAATACCATTCAGGACATAGGTATGGACAAGGACTTCATGTCTAAAACACCAAAAGCAATGGCAACAAAAGCCAAAATTGACAAATGGCATCTAATTAAACTAAAGAGCTTCTGCAGAGCAAAAGAAACTACCATCAGAGTGAATAGGCAACCTACAGAATGGGAGAAAATTTTTGCAATCTACTCATCTGACAAAGGGCTAATATCCAGAGTCTACAATGAAACTCAAACAAATTTACAAGAAAAAAACAACCCCATCAAAAAGTGGGCAAAGGATATGAACAGACACTTCTCAAAAGATGACATTTATGCAGCCAAAAGACACATGAAAAAGTGCCCATCATCACTGGCCATCAGAGAAATGCAAATCAAAACAACAATTAGATACCATCTCACACCAGTTAGAATAGTGATCATTAAAAAGTCAGGAAACAACAGGTGCTGGAGAGGATGTGGAGAAATAGGAACACTTTTACACTGTTGGTGGGACTGTAAACTAGGTCAACCATTGTGGCGATTCCTCAGGGATCTAGAACTGGAAATACCATTTGACCCAGCCATCCCATTACTGGGTATATACCCAAAGGATTATAAATCATGCTATAAAGAGACATGCACATGTATATTTTTTTGCGGCACTATTCACAATAGCAAAGACTTGGAACCAACCCAAATGTCCAACAATGGTAGACTGGATTAAGAAAATGTGGCACGTATACACCATGGAATACTATGCAGCCATAAAAAATGATGAGTTCATGTCCTTTGTAAGGTCATGGATGAAGCTGGAAACCATCATTCTCAGTAAACTATCGCAAGGACAAAAAACCAAACACCGCATGTTCTCACTCATAGGTGGGAATTGAACAATGAGAACACTTGGACACAGGAAGGGGAACATCACACACTGGGGCCTGTTGTGGTGTGGGGGGAGGGGAGAGGGATAGCATTAGGAGATATACCTACTATTAAATGACGAGTTAATGAGTGCAGCACACCAACATGGCACATGTATACATATGTAACAAACCTGCACGTTGTGCACATGTACCCTAAAACTTAAAGTATAAAAAAAAAAGAATATGGAAAAATACTAGGCAAATGCAAGCAAAAATAAAGAGAAATAAGTATAAGAAATAAATGGATTTGATGGCAGACAAGCCAGTCACAAGAAACAAATTTTACAGAAAATCAAAGGGACAATTCATAATAAAAATTTAAATTAATGTACCTTCATATCAAGCAAAAGCTGTTTGAATATAAGAAGAAATTGGTAGGAATACAAGTGAGAGAATTTACTTCAAGTAGGCAAAAAATAATTTAAAACATACAAAATATAAATAAAATGGATTTGCCGCTACAAAGAACAAATAAAATTTTCAGTGCCAAGAGCATCTATAAATTTATAAAATTTGATTATGTTATGTAAAATATGACAATTTCCAAAAGACAGAAAGCCATATTCTCTGACCGCAATGCAACAAAACTAGGTAAACAAAAGGTAACAAAAAATAAAAAAGGAAGAGGGGCTATTTAATCCTTTGGAAATAATATTTGGCCAAATAATTATTGTTTAAAAGAGGAAATCAAACCTAAAATTATATACTATTTAGACATTAGCAATAACAGTACTACATATCAAAATATGGGTTTACCCCAAAGCTATTCTCAGAGAAAAATGCAGTGTTTAATGCTTTTACTCCTAACAAGAAAATAAATAAAGGAGGGGAGGAAGGGAGGGAGGGTGGAAGAAGGAAGGAAAGAAAGAAAGGGAACTAAATCTTATACCTAAGAACCAAGAAGAATAACAATAGAAAACTTTACAGGGAAATAAATGAATAAAGATAAACCAGATATTAATGAATTAGAAAATAGTAGGGAATTATTTAGCAATTAGCTTTAGGAATCATAATATTTTAACCATTTTAAATATAAATAGATTTAATACAGTAAATTTGGTACTTACAGCATTGTAGGAAGAGCTGGAAAATCAGACTTTTGGCTGTGCCTTCAGGGCTTACTCCCAAAAAACATTGCTGAACTGTATTGCCAGTTTCCATAGTGACACAATCAACAAGGTGCAGATTTAGGAGGCTACCACTGGAACAACTGAGTTCAAGAACGTAATATCAGAGATTTTTATCCAAGAAGCAGAGATGGATCAAAAGAAACCACTGCTAGCATTGCATCTTCCTCCTTGCCACCCACAACTTGGCTTTGCTTTTGCAGAAAAACTCAGTATTTCTGTGACTAGGACAGGCGTAACAGCTGCATTCGAATTTGTGGCCAGAACCCTGCCTCAAAGGGATCTGGGAAATGTAGTTTTTAGGTTTTCAGGCTCTACAGCAGAAGTGTCCAATCTTTTGGCTTCCCTGGGCCACACTGGAAGAATTGTCTTGGACCACAGGACAGCTTTGCAAGTGACCCAACACAAATTCACAAACTTTCTTAAAACGTTATGAAAATATTTTTTGCATTTTTTTTAGTTCATCCATTATCATTAGTGTTAGTGTGTTTTATGTGTGGCCCAAGACAATTTTTCTTAGAAATTAAGAGTTCTATCACTGCGACAGATGAAATGACAGATGTTACAGGATAGTACCAGTGATAACCTGATGGTATTAAATTTGTA
The DNA here is from genome assembly GCF_000001405.40 of Homo sapiens. Taxonomy (NCBI): domain Eukaryota; kingdom Metazoa; phylum Chordata; class Mammalia; order Primates; family Hominidae; genus Homo; species Homo sapiens. Next base: position 84,994,940 of record NC_000004.12, read on the forward strand.
AATCTTGATAAAATGGATATTTCTAATTTCTAAGAAAATGTAGAAGTTCAAATTTGATTAAAAATATTGGAAACCTAAGTATATCAATAGTCATGGTAGAAAATGGAAAAACTTATTAAAAATGAAAATGGCCCCGTGACCAAAAAAAGACCCAAACAGCTTTATAAAAAATAATTTTATAAAGATTTTGTAAAACCTTCAAGGAACATATAATTTCCATATAATTATGCCATTTACAAAATTTCCAAACCACATTACTAGCTCTGTTATTATGCATTATCAGGCATTGTGAAAATGTCCTGTTCATTTTCTATGGTTCATCCTAACCACATTGAAATGGATTTCAATAACCACATTATTTCAGGGCCCCCATTATAGCAGAAAAATCATTATTTTCAGGTATATGTAATTCCCTTCATTGTTTCTTCCCTTTCTTGCCTTCTTTTTGGGATAACATTTACCTTCAAGAGCTTAATTAAGTGTACTCACAGTATGGTGGCGTGAGCTGTATCCTGCTATCTCCCTCCTGGGCTGCTTGGCATTTGTATAATCCCAAGTATAGCCATTCCCCGACAATGTCACCCGCTGAATCCTAGGTTGCCTTATCTGGCTTCCAATCATATGATTCACTGTCCTCTGCCTAATTCCCTCTCTCAACCATGAGACCTCTGCAGTCTTCACAGCACTCAGACCACTAGGAATAAAAACATTTGGCTACTCCATCATGCCTGCTTAAGATGGAAAGTGGCCCTGGGTGAGTCTGAGTCACTCCAGCCCTCCTAGACATTGGGCAGAGGCTTTCTTTACTCAGTGTTTCCATATTGTGTAGGGTTGAGGAACTCTTTTGGACTCAGCGTCTTCCAGGACCAACCAGACCTGAAACAGCACAGATCTCGTATAGTCTGAGATCCCCAATATTTCCAGGGGGATCATCATCATCCTCCCTCTCCTTTAGGAGCTAAAGGGTCTAAGTGGGGGTTCACATGGAAATGGGGAGGTACTTGACTCTCAGAGATGCTCCCAGTGTTTGCTGTGCCTGCTTCCTCTCCATCTCTATAGAGGATACAGAGAGAACAGGGAAAGAGGGACAAGGAGAGGGCCTCTCCTGATAGAAGACTCTTTAGAAGTTTGGAGTCAGGAATATGGTGGTAGGAGACTCATGCTTATTTATATCCCCTGTTAAAGTATTTCTTGTCTTAAACGTAGACTGGGATCTTTGAACTCCAAAACTGAGAACTTGATACTTTTGTTTCTCTGCTTCCACTATGATGCAAAATTGAAGGAAGAAAAGAGTTTCCTGTAGTTGGCTAATAACAATCGACAGTACTATTTAAACTGTTCTAGAAAATACAAACAAAACATTGCAAAGTTCCGTTTTCTACCAGTCTACCATAACCTGAAACCAAAACCATGAATATGGGCAACATGCAAAAAAAATAAATAAAATATGAACTTATCTGTTTTAACAGTTTATTTAAATAAATAATAGACCATCACTAGGTTATATTCTAGGAATGCAATATATATTACTTACATTCTTGTGTAATTTTTCTGTACTCAACAAGGAAGCAATGAGCAAGCCACTATATGGGAAGGTGTAGTACATAAAAATAATTATATTCACTTCAAGGAGCTTAATATCCAGTTGGAGAGACAAACACAAAAGTTGAACAACATAAAAATGTAAATAATTCATGGTTTACATAAGAAATACTTAAAGGTAGTACACTGTTTTTCCAAATGAATTATATAAATATGCACTAGATGTTCATAGAAAGTCCCATCACTTGATTCCAGAGTGGTAGGAAAGACTGTACAAAGAGGGGTAGTATGTGTTTAATCATAAAAGATGGATTGAACTTGTATGTAGTGAGAATATTTCAGGCAGGTAAGCCAACAGGTGAAACTCTGAAGGCAGGAACGCTGAATATATACATGTTCAGTCAACAGTGACCAAACTTTCTGTGATAGAAAAGTGAAATGTTATGGTTTAGAGACATTGTGAGTTAAACTTATACTCTTCAGGAAATGTAAGATACATTATGTATCTTTTTACGTATTCAGCTGGTAAAACAATTTGGAGTATCTTGACCTACCTGAGGAGCATGCTTGTTCTGTGTGAATAGTGAGGTCTATTGGTTGTAAGTTCGGTGTACACTTCCTTCACACGGTTACTACCAGACTGCTTTTAAAGCCCCCATTTACACTCTCTTGACTTTATCCCAAGACTTGGCTGCAAAAACAGTCAGCTCCTCTGCCATCTATTTTACCTTGATTTTCTGTACCCAGTTCCTGGATTCGTTTTTTTTATCCTCTTCGAGATATACTCAGTCAATCTAAAATGGAGATAAAATTGTTGCCAAAATTATGCAGGAGTAAATTCATACATATTGAAGCTTTCACAAATGAAATTGAACCTGGTGAGAAATACTGTGCTACACTGAAAGCATTTTTCTCCCCTCACATACACATGAATAATTTGTTTAATTGAGCTGTGGATTCCTTGGGGCACCAAGACTAAATATTTATAGTTCTTTGTGTACACTGGATGGTTAGTGGGAGCTCCCCACAACAGCTCCAGAGACAGAATTACTTAGCTGGTTCAGATGGGAACACATAGCAACCTTATTTCTCTACCTGGGCCTACTGACAGAAAACTCCCTACCTATTTACAGAATTTGAGCCACTCTCCTCACCTCCCACCTCTTCCACCTCCTGCAGATTGTGTTGTATTCTTCCTTCTACTTCTGATACCTCGTAAAGTCTCTGATCCTACTGCATTACTCTCTCACTTATACAGATCTCACTGTCCAGCTCCTGAATCCAAACAATGCTTGCCTTTTCAAGATCTAATCCATTTTGCCTCAGCTTCCTTTATTCCTTCTAAGAGGGCATTGCAAAAACATCTGCTCCTATTCTGCATCCACTTCACCTCTTTTACCTTTTCTCAGTCTCCAATTTTCTCCTTTGTCATTATTCCAAACATATTTCACTTACTCTCTAAATATTGATTGGTTGGTTAGTTCTGCATAATACAAAAGGGTTTCTGACTCTACTTAAAAAGTAATGAGAATCATGACTTCCCACAGAATAAGTAGAGAGCAGATAAACTCTTGGTGTGACAAACTGAGAAAACAAACACTTTATCTTATTAGATCGTGTCCACAGGGATGCAAATGAAACAAGTGATACATCACCACCATCAACTAAATTACAAACACTGCTTAGGTTTATGACATCCATTATTTTACCTGCAACCATTTTTTTAATTATTGTTTTTGAAATTACTATCTTGGTCAAAAGAGCAGGAAAAATGCTCATCGGATCAATAATGTATCCTTTTAACCTAACCCTAACTCCTAAGAGTGGTTGCAAATATGTGAAAGATTGGTTAATGTAAGGCTCCATCAGGGAATAAGGGGTCAATGGAGCATAAACAGCAGCAGTCAGGGTGCAGCCAAATTACCCTGTAAACCAGTTGCTATTCCATGAACAGATAGGAGGTGGGCTCTAATAATGTTTAAATCACGAAGATCTGGGATCTGCATTCACTTAAGTTCATTTGGTTTCTCTTAGCTGTGGCAGATCGACTTTACTTATGCTTTCTCAATTATATACCTCATCCTTACCATGGCTTCATAGTGGGCAAAGTGGGCTTCCCCACTTGAAAATGTGAGGCATTACTTGCTAAATTTAAAAATAAAATTAAATTGGACCAAGTAGCTGATTTTATGTGGGCATTGTTCCTTTTGTTTAAGCCTCCATTATAAATAGGATTATTATGTTTGTTGTTTTGTGTTTTTTTAGCTCACCAGATTATCAAGTCAGGATCATGGGTTGTTCACCTCTATTTATATAGAGCCTGGAACATTGGTAATGCTTACTATATGTTTGATTAGTGAATAAGTGAGTGGTTATGAATGGAAGAGCTGGGAACAAAGAGGAAATAAGGCATTTTCATGGGCCTATGATGTAACAGAACAGGCAGGAAAGAGCAAAGCATATTTAGAATGAAGACAATTCTCCAGCTTGGTTGAAAGTTGTAATACATGTGTTAGGAAAGGTTAAATGTAGTCAAATTTGAATGCCAGATTGAATGCCAGATTTAGGAATTGGGTATTTATTCTATAGATAGTAGAAAGTTTGAACATTTTGTAACAGGAGAATGACATGGGAGGAATAATGTTTTAGAAAGATTTGTCTTTCTGCAGAATGCAAGAAGGACTGCATTAGGGAGGGATTGGAGGTTGGAAGGTGAGGGATGAGGTTTACATAAAAAGGTAGGTAAGGCCTGAACTAGAGTGGTAGTGCCGTAATAGTAAAATAAAGGTGATGGAAGAAATATTTTTAAGGAAAAATCATTGGACTTTTTGTTATTTTGGAGTTTGGAGAGCAAGGGAGAGCCATGTGAAAGATGACTTTCTGATTCAGAGTCAGAATGACAACAACATCGTTAGTTCTATTACATATATCAGAGAAACCTGGTGCTAGGTGAGTAGGGAGGGTTTGGAAATAGATTATAAAAACTGTAATTTGAAGGAAATTTGGAAATGTATGAGCATAAATATCCACACACAGTTTAAGATAAGGGACTGGCTGGGCACAGTGGCTCACGCTGGTAATCCCAACACTTTGGGAGGTTGAGGTGGACGGATCACTTGAGGTCAGGAGTTTGAGACCAGCCTGGCCAACATAGTGAAACCCCATCTCTACCAAAAAAAAAAAAAAAAAAAAAATTAGTGGACATGGTGGCATGCACCTGAGTCCTAGCTACTCAGGAGGCTGAGGAAGGAGAATCACTTGAACCAGGGAGGTGGAGGTTGCGGTGAGCTGAGATCATGCCACTGCACTCCAGCTCCAGCGACAGGGTGAGACTCCCTCAAAAAAAAAAAAAATGGAGGACTAAAATTCTAAGAATAAAATTGGATCAAAAATAAATATTTGGTAGTAATCTATATGGAAGTGATAACTGATTTTTAGAGTGTGGAAGAATTCTCTAAGAGAGATACTGCAAGAAGAGCAGTAAAAATAAAACTTAAACTTCGGAATTACCTGTTAAATTTGGTCATTGTGGACCAAATGTGTGTGCATTATCCAACGTACATGGACAAATAAGATGATCAAATGAATGTTTACAATTATTTTCCACATTACCCAAACAAGTTAATTTGGTTGTGACTTCATTAAATTAATGTCTTAAACTAGAGTGATGGGACCAAGGATAATTAAAGGCACCACATCCATCCTGCAGCATTTCCAAAGTGGGAGGTATTTTGAAGCCTTAACATAGATAGTATCCTTATTTATTGCTTCATCTGCTCCTATACATATTTCATATGAACATATCAGAGTAACCTTCTTTGAAAAGACTTATTATTTGCCATGTTTTGGCATTCCATGATATTATAATGTCAGGACATCTTAATGTCAATTTTTTTTAAGTTTTAGAAACAATAAAACTTCTATACGAGTAACATTAAGCGGATCATCTCACATAATTCTTTTACTTATCTTACATCTCAATACCCTACAGGTTTATAACTCTCACTGAAATGTTTATTAGATACCATTAACTAACAGTTATATAATGTTTTACAATGTGCTTTTACATAATGTTCAATTTGATGTTCATAGTAAATCTGTCAGCATGGCTTTATTATTGTTATAATTACCATCTTAAAGATGAATAAAATGAAGCTCAGAGAGGTTAAGTAACTTTCCTAAGTGTTTTTTTTTCTTTTTATTCGAAAGGTTTATGGGACTCCCCAGTACTCTCCATGTAGAGTCTAATGTAGAATCCAGGAGTGCACAGAAAAGTCACTGGATGTAAGAAACAATGATAACCTCTATTTTTACATTAAAAAAATAAGATGCAAGTTAAATTTACTAATATTTAATGTACAGACTGACTCTCAAAGATCAAACAGTGTCTATGGTCATGCTCCCCATCCTATTTGGTACAGGAGAGGTCTGGAAGAGATGTCTAAGAGCTCCAAAATGCAAGCAGCCTCACAGAGTTACCCTCTCTTGTTTACTCACTCTCAGTGTTGTGTCATAAGCAGTTCAAATGAGCCTAGATACAAGGATTTATAGATTGTAGGACTATTTTTAATGGCTACTTCATTTTTGCTTTAATAATTATATTTGATTGTTAATGAAAATGACCACTTCCACATATATTGAATATTGAATTTATATTTCCTTATATTTCCTGTGTCCCATTCATCTATCTAGTACAAAAACCATAACAGAAAAGCTTATTTTAGATTGTAAAATTTCTAAATTATCTTTTAAACCAAATATGCAAAGATATTCCTGCTTATTCATGGTCTGATGAGTTGTCAGTGTGATGCTTTATATTCTTATACATGTGATCCAATTCTTTCTTTCTTTCTTTCTTTCTTTCTTTCTTTCTTTCTTTCTTTCTTTCTTTCTTTCTTTCTTTCTTTTCTTTTCTTTTTTTTGGAGATGGAGTCTTGCTCTGTTGCCCACGCTGGAGTGCAATGGCATGATCTCAGCTCACTGCAACCTCCACCTCCCAGGTTCAAGAGATTCTCTGGCCTCAGCCTCCTGAGTAGCTGGGATTACAGGCATCCACCACCATGCCCAGCTAATTTTTTTGTATTTTTAGTAGAGATGGGGTTTCGCCATGTTGGCCACGCTGGTCTTGAACGCCTGACCTCAAGTGATCCATCCGCCTCAGCGTCCCAAAGTGCTGAGATTACATGCTTGAACAACTGTGCCTGGCCTCATATGATCCATTTCTGACTAAACTACTCCTCACAAAATATACAAATGACATACATAGATTCCTGTACAGAAAATGCTGATTGAAACTAACACTAGGCTGGGTGCAGTGGATCACACCTGTAATCCCAGCACTTTGGGTGGCAGAAGTGGGCAGATCACAGGAGGCCAGGATTTTGAGACCAGCCTGGGCAACATGGCGAAACCCTGTCTCTACTAAAAATACAAAAAGTAGCTGGGTGTGGTGGTGTATGTCTGTAATCCCAGCTACTTGTGGGGCTGAGGCATGAGAATCACTTGAATCTGGGAGGTGGAGGTTACAGTAAGCTGAGATTGCTCCACTGAACTTCAGCCTAGGCAACAGAGTAAGACTCTGTGTCACCAAAAAAAAAAAAAAAAAAAAAAAAAAAAGAGGCTGGGCATGGTGGCTCACACCTGTAATCCCAGCACTTTGGGAGGCCAAGGCAGGCGGATCACTGGGTCAGGAGTTTAAGATCAGCCTGGCCAACATGGTGAAACCCCATCTCTACTAAAAAATACAAAAATTAACAGGATATGGTGGCACAGGCCTGTAGTCCCAGCTACTTGGGAGGCTGAGGCAGGAGAATTGCTTGAACGTGGGAGGTGGAGGTTGCATTGAGCCAAGACCATGCCATTGCACTCTAACCTGGGCAACAGAGTGAGACTCCAGCTCAAAAAGCAAGCAAACAAACAAAACCCCAAAAAGAAACTAAGACTAACAATGTTTAAGCAAACAAATGAAAAAATAGCAGACCCACACGTCTATCACTCAAAATGTTATTTTTATTTTATTTTTTTTTTTGAGATGGAGTTTCACTCTTGTTCCCCAGGCTGGAGTGCAATGGTGCAATCTTGGCTCACCACAACCTCTGCCTCCCGGGTTCAAGCGATTCTCCTGACTCAGCCTCCCAAGTGGGGTCGTGGCATGTTGTCCAGGCTGGATTTGAACTCCTGGGCTTATGCAATCTTCTGATCCCAGCCTCTTGGGTAGCTGGGACTACAGGCATGCACCATAATACCTGGCCAAAAGGTAAGATTTTCATCAGCAATATTACAGGATGAAATAATGATCTGAACAACAGTTGGACAAAAACAAATTTTTAGCTATCAAGAAGACTATTTAAAAATATATTGGCCGGGCACGGTGGCTCACGCCTGTAATCCCAGCACTTTGGGAGGCCGAGAAGGGCAAATGACGAGGTCAGGAGTTCGAGACCAGCCTGACCAACGTGGTGAAACCCCGTCTCTACTAAAAATACAAATATTAGTCAGGTGTGGTGGCACGCACCTGTAATCCCAGCTACTCAGGAGGCTAAGGTAGGAGAATAGTGTGAACCCAGGCGGCGGAGCTTGCAGTGAGTGGAGATTGAGCCACTGCACTCCAGCCTGGGTGACAGAGCGAGACTCCGTCTCAAAAAAAAAAAAAAAAAATATATATATATATATTTACATCCACTATCATTATTCATAAATATCATGTGAGCTGTATATGCATCCTTTGAGATATTGGCTAAGGATAATCAAGCTATTTTAACACTAAATATCTAAAACATGAAGATGAACTCTATAATTGATTCAGCAATGTTTGAAGTCATACTCAATCCAGTACTTTACAAAATTTTACTAAAAATTAATGAAAACGTTGAGTGCTTCCTTTAACATTTCTTATTTAATTGCAAGAGGCAAAAAGTGGTTATTTGCCCTGTCACAGTAGGCTAAAGTAATATACTCAATATAACTGCAAAACAACAGGCACTCCTTTTACAGCAAAAAGTGTTAGAAGTTGCAAAATGTAACTTAGAACAAATTTCAAATTAAAGGAGGGCATGCTATTCATAAAAGTATCAATATTTTTCCAAAGTCTAAGTGTGTGGTATTTGCTGGATTTTATTTCAATAATGAAGTCCATCAAGTACTACTTTTTGTGTAAGCCACTAAAGAATACGAGCCAGAAAAGATACCTCTCAATAATAAACAACTTCTTTAATGAAAACAATGTTTTGTATATAACCAAGTTGCATTGCCTGGAATCTTAAAAAGTACTCCTAGGTCACAGATGGATTTCAGAGCTAGTACAATGCAAATTGACTCACTCCATCATATGTGAACACATAAAGCAAAACTGAAGTCACACATGTACAAAATGCTGATGGGTGTCATTGACATGGTTAATTTCATAAAATTAAAAAACTTAAACCTACAATACAAGCTCTAAACATTGCAATCCATGTGGCATGATCATGAAAATCTTTTGTATTAATACTACAGTGAAGCTGATTGGTTATCTTGTATCAAAGACATTAAAGGAGTTGAGTTTATAGATGGGTATGTATTTTTCTTGAGTAACAAAAGAGATAAGTATTCCTTTTCTGATATACTGCAATAGTAATAAGAGGTGGGGCCTTCAGGAGGTGATTAAGTAATGAGGGCAGTGCTCTCATGAATGGGATTATGACCTTATAAAAGAGGTGTAAGGAAGCTTTACATTTCTTTTTTGTCCTTTTAACCTTCTACCATTTTAGGACACAGCAAGAGGCAACATTTTGGAAGCAGAGGGCAACTCTCACTGGAAACCAAATCTCCTGGCACCTTGATCTTGGATTTTACAGCCTCCAGAACTGTGAGAAAATAAATTTCTGTTCTTTATAAATTACTCAATCTCATGTACTTTGCTATAGCAGCAGGAACAAACTAAGATTATTTGAAATATATTATACATGGTTGGGCACGGTGGCTCATGCTTGCAATCCCAGTACTTTGGGAGGCTGAGGTGGGTGGTAGATCACTTGAGGTCAGGAGTTCAACACCAGCCTGGCCAACATGGTGGAATCCCATCTCTACTAAAAAATACAAAAAATTAGCCAGGCATGGTGGCATGTGCCTGTAATCCCAGCTACTTGGGAGGCTGAGGCATGAGAATCGCTTGAACTTGGGAGGGGGAGGTTGCAGTGAGCCGAGATCCATTACTGTACTCCAGTCTGGGGTGACAGAGTGAGACTCCCTTTCAAAAAAAAAAAAAAAAAAGAAAATATATTACACAGGATCAATGGGACAATGGCTTATATTTTTTCTCTTTAATTGCCATTTTAAAAATAAAAGTTCAGTGCCCTAATTATAATTACCCTCAATGGTTCCTGGTGAGTTCTTACTAATTTTTGTGTTTTGGCTCCCTTTCTTTCTTTTGGAATATCATATGACTCATGCATTTTTACAAAATAATTTTCAATCAATTGAAGTCATTATTGTTTTTATGCTTAAATTATTCCATCTTTGGCCAAATTAGCTCTTATGTCCTTTTGACATAATCCCATTACCTTTTTCATTTTTTACAGATAAGGTCTTTCTATGTTGACCAGGTTAGTCTCTAACTTGACCTCTCAAAGTGCTGGAATTGCAGGTCTGAGCCACCATGCCCAACCTCCCATTACAGTTTGATCACTATCAAACTTTTGTCTTTTTTACAACAAGATATCCAAGACTCATCTTATCTATTTCCTGACCCAAACCTCAATCTGGCCCTTTTTCTAAGGAGCCCTAGTTTGTTTTATTGGCGAGTGATATTTAGAGATCACAATCTGGTACTAGGTTTAATGATTGCTTTTAGACTTTTTCAGTAAATAGAATTAGGAAATACAATTAGACTTTTTAACTAATTGTAGAAAATTTTAAACACACACAACAATAGTAAGAATAGCATAATAAATCCTCATGTGACAGCATCCAATTTTAAGAGAAATCTATGCTTTGCTCATCTTGTTTTATCTAGTTCTCACACTTCCTTTTGAAAGCTATTAAAAATCTATGGCAGAAAAATGGTCAAGGAATAGGAACTACAACTTCATAAATGAGGAACCAGAAAAGGTAAAAAAAAAAAAAAAAACTGAACAGATAATCAAATTTCACAGTAATTCGTTTTCAAATAAAAAATATACAGATTAAAATATGATTTCCCCATTGTTGACTAGAATGCATAAAAATGGGGCCAAGCATGGTGGCTCATGCCTGCAATCCCAGCACGTTGGGGGTCCAAGGTGGGAGAATCACTTGAGCCCAGGAGTTCAAGACCAGCCTGGGCAATATGAGCAAGAAACATAAATTAAAAAATAAAAATGGAAGTTTTGTGCAATGCTAAAGGGAATATAAATGGGTATAAGCTTTCTGGACAACAATTTTAAAAATTACATAAGAAATCTTTAAAAATATTCTTCTCTCTGATGTAACAAATAGACTCTACAATTCAGTGACTTAAATAATACAGAAGTTTACTTCTTTCTGTCTGCTCTATCTCTCTGTGTCCAGGATAGCTGGGAGGCATTACATAGTCATGTGCGAGGTCAAAACTGAGTCACCACCACAACCAAGTTCCAGCTGGCAAGAAGAGGAAAAATAACACAGAGGAGTTATGACCAGTGTTGTAAGGATCTGGCCTAGAAATGGCATGCATCTCTTCCACTAATATCCTATTGGTAAAAATGTAGTCACATGGGCACACCACCTATCTGCATGGAAGGCTGGGAAATGTTGATCGGTAGGGCAGCCATATGTGTAGGAAGGAGAAAACAGAATTTGGTGGATACCTAGTAGTCTCTGCCATACCCTTGACCAGAAATTTTTCTTCTAAAGAATTTAATTCTAAAAGTTATAGACATTCCCAAAGATATACCTGCAAGCATCACAGCTTTGTGTATAATTGCAAAAGTTGAAATCAACATGAATGCCCAAAATAGTGAATTATTTAAACAGATTATTACCCATATTATGAAGAAATACTCTGCAACTCTTAAAAATAAATGTAATGTGCCAGGCGCAATGGGATATGCCTGCAGGCCCAGCTACACGGGAGGCCAAGGCAGGAGGATCACTTGAAATCAAGAGTTCAAGTCTAGCCTAGACAACATAGTGAGACTTGGTCTCTAAAAAAGAAAAAAAAAAATAAAACTGATGTAATGAATATATAATTACAACAAAAGAGGTCTAACACTATAGTAGAAAAGTTTGGGGCACTCATCCCATTCATAATTATTTTACATTTAAATTACTGTTCCTACTTAAGTGGTGAGCTTGGTAACCATTTTCATATCAGGTGATACTGCTGCAGTAATCATAGCTGTTTGAATCAGGAATAATCCCAATCACATTTTCTCTTAATCGTTTATTATACTGGGCATTGGGGTTGCAAGATAATGCACAGTCCGAGCTCAATACATGTCTTCATGTACCTGTATGTAAATCCCACTTTTATTCTAAAATTCTTTGAATATTTTGTTTCTTGGAACCCAATGATCCTAAGAAAATTATGTACTTTTACCTGAAAATTAAAACCAATATTTATAAAAAGTGTATATGCAGTATGATACCACTTTTAAAAAAAGATAAATTTATAGAAAAAAGTTTATATGACTGACAACAATGTCTCTGAGTGGTAGGATTACAGTTAATTTTTATTTTCTTCATTCTACTTATCTTTATTTTCTGAACTTTCTACAATGAACATGTTTTATTTTTACTTTTGTTAAAATAAATAACATTTAATTTGACGGAAAATTCTAAAAATCAACATTTGGTAACTTAAATATTCATTGGCACATGATTCTGTGCCTGTTTCTGGGGGTCATTCCCATGAGAAGAGCAGGTAGAACTTATGAGAATAGAGCAGTCGAAATATTATAGGTTTCATATTTTACGGCTTTATTGAAAACATTGATATATTGAATATTCATAAATTTTAATTTAACTTTCTTTTATAATCCTTAATGTGAGGCTAAGGTATAAGGAGAAAGGAGATTGGTAAGGAAGTGTGATACATATTGAATCAGGTGTCAAGGTACCATTTGTGCCTGGATCTGACCAATAGACCAAGGTAAAAATCTCAAAGAATGAGACTTGTAATGAGAATGCCACAAACTTGAATACCTTATGCACAAAACACAAACATTGTTATGCATAATGTACATGAACCCTGAAACAAAGATAATGATTTGGACCACCCAACTGAAGTGGCATGTTATGTTTTTGGCATGAACAAAAGAAACAAGAGAGAAAAAAATCAAAATAATTAAAATAAATTGTTAGAGAAAAGTTACTTTAAAAATAGCTATAACGCTTTGCAATTTCAGTAACAGTTCTGCCTCTGATGCAATGTAAAACATGTATTAGACATTCAGGCTCCACAATAAATTTTAATGAGCACTACAAATTTAGAATATATAAAAATATCAGTAACCTATGAATTCATCAACATAACTCACTTTTCAGTTAAGTTAGGCTGAGTTGAAATTCTACTAAGTTTTCCCATATTCTTGATAAAGGCTAAATTTGAAATAATTTATTTAGATGACTAATTGGCAATTTGATAGTAGTTACATTTTATGTAACACTTGATATAATAACCCAAATTAATTAGCTCAATATTATCTTCTGTGGTTTATTGATCCAAAAGTACATATTTGTTATGTAAACTTATACTATGTAAACTTGAATTAGTTTTTTGCTTCCTTGAATTAATAAAGCCCATTAATGCAAATCTAAGCCTTCATAGACTTTTCCAATCCTTAGTTAAATATTAAAAACTGAGTATTGTAGTTATTTGCTAGGTATAAAAGGTGACTCAGAGTAGAGAGTAAGATGTCAGCAAATAGACAATAAGATGTCAGCAAAAGTGCCTCAAATTTTAACTGCGTCAAGTTAAGGGCATTGTAAATACTGTAGTTTTATGTAGCTTGCAACTTCTACTGAAATGAGTTTAATCATGTCTTTCACATAGCTGAAGTTTGTGTCAAGATTTAAGCTGATTTTCTCATTCTTATCAAAGTCTCACCTGGGGGTAGGGAGGGGTAGGCCTACCTCCCACCTCTATACTATCATTTTAGGAACAGACAGGCATAAATCTGTTCATATGGTAGAACACATGATGTTAGAGTATATTTTGTTGAATGCTATGGAATATTAATATAATTAATTCTAAAATATCACCTAAAATATGTCAACTGAAGATCTGACTGTACTAAATATGAAAAATAAAGCAGCACATACTTTCTCTACTGTTTTCCTGGCCATTCATTGTCACAAGGCTTAGCCAGTCCCTGACACCCAATACGCTACCAATAAGCCACCATCATCTTTTCCTGGGGTTTTGCATTCACTGGTTGTGTTACCTAGTATTGCCTATGATAATCGTTAGTCATCATTAAGGAACTAAGTATTATGTACTCCTTGCCTTGGAATACTCTATTTGGAGTTGTGCAAGTGAGAAGCCCCAAATTTATAAGTCAATATCCTCATTCAGAGCTGCCACCCTTGTGACTTTAAATTGGAGCTCCTGTTTTACACCACTGTGTATCTCTATTTCTGGCCATCACTTTTTTAATACACATGACTTTCCTCTCCCAGTTTCCAGACAGGGCTCTTTGAATGTATGTCAAACTCAGTTACTCCAGAGAAAAAACTGCCTTTCCCTTCAAAGTGCTCCCTCGAGGTTCCTTAGTGAGTTTTGTACCTTCTATTTTAAAAGAGGCTTTCCCAAACTGTGCCATTTATCAATTTATTGCCCATCAGTCTCCACCTACCATTCTCTGCTCTGCTTTGTGAACTGAAGAGGGACCCTGTAAACATTTATTTATTGCCAGCTGGTACAACATTAGACTCTGTCAAGAAAGGGTGCTGGAGGGCCACTTCAAGTCCACTGCAAGAGAAAGGGGCTGCTCCTGATGGCCAGGTTTGCTGTTTCCTTCAGCAAGGCTGCTGGCGGATGTGCATGTCAGAGCTCTCATAGCTCTCACCTCAGTGACACTTGACAACCAGCATAGGGCCCACCAAACCCTCCAAGAAGTTTGGTCACCAGGTGAGCCACTTCCTGTGAACCCCTCCAGCATATACCTTCTGATAAGTTTCTATGCTGTTGGCAGTCTGGTGTTCCTATAGCAAGCACACTCTCCCCAACAAGGCATGAATCTACATTGGTTGAAGGTGGGACAGTTGGTTTCTTCTACATTCTTGGTTCCATCATTGTTCATTCTTCCTCAGTCCCAGAAGTAGCTGCTTTTTGCATTTGTTATCTCTGTATTGATTAGAGTTCCTTTTTATTATGATTAATGTAATACTCCTTTATATTAAATTTTTCCTTTTCAAATAACTGGTGTGGATCAAAGGCATCCTGAATCTGGTATGATCTATCTCACTGTTTTCAGATACTGTAGTAAGAGGCATAAACTTTATGTAATTTTAGTAGATTTGCAGTTGCAAAATATTTGAGATACATTTATGGCAGGAAAGGTTGAAGTTAGAAAATTATGCAATTGAGTAACATTCTTATGTAAATTGTGAAAAGACTACCATTATCCCGCTTTAGCAGCATAATATCTTTGTTGAGCTCTCATGACTATCCTGTCCTGTAAGAGTAAGCTTAGAGAATCACTGAAACCAATGAACAAAATGTTGCTTAATGGAACGATTATTGAGTTTATAAAAATATATTTGGTTAGAGAATAATGTTTTGTCTTCAGACTTTCAGTTATGGGTGACCCAACTTCTCTAAAATCATTTTTCCATACTATTTCTGTTTGTCAATTTGATTTTCTTTGTTTCTACCATTCATATTTAAAATACAGCATTATCTCTAATTTATTCCAGCATTATTAAATATCTACTATTTGCATGGCACTGGCTGGGGAATGGAAGAGAATACATCTTTTCTGCTCTCAAGGAGCAAAAAAATGTAGCTATAGAAAAATTGCTCAATGTAAATAACTAATACTTTTAATAATGTGACTAATGTTCAGAAATAATGTATCATCAAAATTTCTTACAGTTCATTAGTTTGTAAATTTAATGTAAATGTTGAGAATATTATTCTTGTCATAATGTAAAGCCACGTTCTTTTACTTTAATCTCTGGGGAAAAAAATCACAAATTATTATTATTTTAAGACAAGGTGTGCGACAGTTGAATAAAAAGTTGAGTGCATTAATTTCTTTAA
Source organism: Homo sapiens (assembly GCF_000001405.40). Lineage (NCBI taxonomy): Eukaryota > Metazoa > Chordata > Mammalia > Primates > Hominidae > Homo > Homo sapiens. Next base: position 85,010,682 of record NC_000004.12, read on the forward strand.
TTAAATCTAAGCTATAATTCAAATGAACTTTGGAAAACACTAACTTTAGTCTGATTAGTTATTAGTAGTTAACTGAGTATCTACAAAAACCATACTTTCATTCCCAAAACTGACAGTCATTCTCCTTTGTCCCATGATAGAAATATGAAGATTATTCCACAATACCCTCCGTAGACAGAAAACTTTATAAACCCACTAATGCCAAAGGGCAAGGTGATAATCCCCTAACGGAAAAACAGGAAGCCATGCTGTTCTTTTCTTGAATGCCACCTTTGCCGTCACCATAGTGCTGTGATCTAGGGTAAGGCAGTTTGTTGTTGTTGTTGTTGTTGTTTTAAATAACAGAACATTCAGATAAATATCCTAAAGCAGTATAAAATTGGAAGACTAGTGTCTCTACTTTAATTAATTGCACATGCTTCTATGTTCTACATAAATCAAAGCCTTCCTTTAAGACCCGTTCTTACCTTCATTCACGATTTGCTCTCCTCTCACAGTCTTCTGGCCTCGGTCCCCTTGTCCAGTATTCTCCTTTCTTGTGTCCTGACCTGGGGAGTCTCCAGCTCCCTCCAAGTGACAGAGAATCCCGAGTGCTGGCCCCAGAGGCTTTCATGTCTCTTATCAGTTCTCCTGTTGCAGACTCCAGGTGGCAAGGGCTTTACTTCTGCCTGAGAGCCTCCTGGTCTGAAGAGGGGTAGGAGGAAGCCTTGTCCTCCTGAGCTGCAGTTGAGTTGGTGGGTGCTTTCACTTTGCTTCAGGCTGTCCACCAACAATGGCTGAAGCATTCTTCCTGAGTGTGCCTAAACACAGAAATACTTTATCTTTTTTTTTTAAAAAAAAGTTTTATTTAAAACATTTTATTTAATATTTTATTTATTTATTTATTTATTTTGGAGACAGAGTCTCTCTCTGTCACCCAGGCTGGAGTGCAGTGGTGTGATCTTGGCTCACTGCAACCTCTGCCTCCCGGGTTCAAGCAATTCTCCTGCCTCAGCCTCCCAAGTAGCTGGGACTACAGGCACATGCCACCACACCCGGCTAATTTTTTGTATTTTAGTAGAGACGGGGTTTCACCGTGTTGCCCAGGCTGGTCTCGAACTCCTGAGCTCAGGCAAGCCACCTGCCTTGGCCTTCCAAAGTGCTAGGATTACAGGCATGAGCCACTGCACCCAGCGTACTTTATCTATCTTATCTTTTTTCTGAAAATCAATCTATTCTCAACATGAAGAATTTAGATTTTTCCTATTAAAATGACTCCAGTACTAAGCTTTAGGGAACAGTAATGTTCACTATTATCTTTGTGCTAAGGGAATAAGCCCTTGGAAGGCCCAGATGGTGTATTATTTATGTAGGTATTTAATAATACTGGACTTGAGTCAGAAACAAAACCAGTGTTTTAAGCCCAGTTGATTGGAAGGATAATATAACTTTTCTCCTGATAGTGAGAGATGAATTTCAGTTCATCTTGCCCCCAAAATATTGACTTCATGCAACATGTACAATGTATTTCCCAAGACAGAAAACTGGGACTCAAAGCTCTCTCTTGTGAAATCTAATTTACCATCATGTCCAGTTAATTCTACCTCATAGCTATATCTCTTGACTCTGTTATCTTCTTTCCAAACCCTTTCTTACACTATAGGGCCTACAGAATAAATTCAAGTTTGGTAGCATTGCATACAAAGCACTTTATTATCGGACCCTTGCGTACATTGTGGCCTCATTTTTAGCTGCCCCCATTTGTGGTCATGAAAATGCAGCACTCAGGTTTCCTACTGCAGAGAGTGTAATTGACTGATGGCCCCAGATAATGTCCTCTGGATCCACTCTTGTGTTCTTGTAGACGCCATGATTCCCACAGGGTTTTCTCAGCCAGTCTGAGTACAACAGAGATTCTAATGCAGGCTTATTTTTATAAGACAGTATGCCTTAAACAGGTGATTCTGGCTGGAGGACTCCGCTGAACTCAGCCTGGCTAAGATTTTCTTTTTCTTTTCTTTCTTTCTTTTTTTTTTTTCCAAAATTAGAGAGACTTGCTCTGTCACCTAGGCTGGAGCATAGTGACATAATCTTGGCTCGCTATAACCTCCAGCTCCTGGGCTCAAGTGATTCTCTTGCTTCAGCCTCCCGTGTAGCTGAAAATACAGGAACGCACAACCACACCCAGATAATTTTTTATTTTTATTTTTTGTAGAGATGGGATATCGCTATTTTGCCCAGGCTGGTCTTGAACTCCTGGCCTCAAGCAATACTCCTACCTTGGCCTCCCAAAATGTTGGGGTTACAGGCATGAGCCATAGCATCTGGCTTGCCTAAGATTTTCTTTTTTCTTTAACTTTTTTTTAAAATTATACTTTAAGTTTTAGGGTACATGTGCATAACGTGCAGGTTTGTTACATATGTATACGTGTGCCATGTGGGTGTGCTGCACCCATTAACTCGTCATTTAGCAGTAGGTATATCTCCTAATGCTATCCCTCCCTCCTCCTCCCACCCCATGACAGGCCCCGGTGTGTGATGTTCCCCTTCTTGTGTCCAAGTGTTCTCATTGTTCAATTCCCACTTATGAGTGAGAACATGTGGTGTTTGGTTGTTTGTCCTTGTGATAGTTTGCTGAGAATGATGGTTTCCAGCTTCATCCATGTCCCTACAAAGGCCATGAACTCATCTTTCTTCATGGCTGCATAGTATTCCATGGTGTATATGTGCCACATTTTCTTAATCCAGTCTATCATTGTTGGACATTTGGGTTGGTTCCAAGTCTTTGCTATTGTGAATAGTGCCGCAATAAACATACATGTGCGTGTGTCTTTATAGCAGCATGATTTATAATCCTTTGGGTATATACCCAGTAATGGGATGGCTGGGTCAAATGGTATTTCTAGTTCTAGATCCTTGAGGAATCGCCACACTGTCTTCCACAATGGTTGAACTAGTTTACAGTCCCACCAACAGTGTCAAAGTGTTCCTATTTCTCCACATCCTCTCCAGCACCTGTTGTTTCCTGACTTTTTAATGATTGCCATTCTAACTGGTGTGAGATGGTATCTCATCATGGTTTTGATTTGCATTTCTCTGATGGCCAGTGACGATGAGCATTTTTGCGTGTGTCTTTTGGCTGCATAAATGTCTTCTTTTGAGAAGTGTCTGTTCATATCCTTTGCCCACTTGTTGATGGGGTTGTTCGTTTTTTTCTTGTAAATTTGCTTGAGTTCTTTGTAGATGCTGGATATTAGCCCTTTGTCAGATGGATAGATTGCAAACATTTTCTCCCATTCTGTAGGTTGCCTGTTCACTCTGATGGTAGTTTCTTTTGCTGTGCATAAGCTCTTTAGTTTAATTAGATCCCATTTGTCAATTTTGGCTTTTGTTGCCATTGCTTTTGGTGTTTTAGACATGAAGTCCTTGCCCATGCCTATGTCCTGAATGGTATTGCCTACGTTTTCTTCTAGGGTTTTTATGGTTTTAGGTCTAACATTTAAGTCTTTAATCCATCTTGCATTAATTTTTGTGTAAGGTGTAAGGAAGGGATCCTGCATGCTCAGTCATTAGTGATCTTCTTGGGCAACTTCAGGTATTGTGTTGCTCCATTGTAACTGTGAATGGATATTCTTTTTGGACAAGCCTGAAAAGAATGATTGCCAATGAATTACACCTCTCAGGAATGAGGGTTTGGATAAATCACCATGACCTACTCAGTTGACAGCTGAGGGAGAGAGAAATTTAAAATGGATAATAGAGAAAGGAGAGGATGAGGAGCAGTTGTGGCACTGAGACTAACTGCAGTGACAATTCTTCCCACCAGCCTCTCTCTTCAAAGCTTCCTGTCAGAAAGAAAGGTTCAATGCTAAGTAGAGAAGTATATCTGTATGTCGCAAGGCATGGACTTCGGTGGCCATAAAAATGCACCTGTCAAATCTCCTGCTGCATGGAGAAAAATCCACTAAGAACTCTAGATGCTGCACTTCTGGACCTGGTCCTGTGTTCACACTAGCCCACAGTTCCCACAGGCTGCTGCCAGCTAATGACTGAGCATGGTGGAGATACGAATGTGGGCCCATCGTTATGAGATGCAAGACCCCCTTAACAGGTGACTTTGACTTGTGGACTCCCTGTGGGAATGGCTGAGTCTTTCTTAGAGCTGCTGTCTGAGACTCTACTTACTTCCCCCTCTCCTTCACAGGTGTCAGATCTGCATCATGGTCTGAAAACTCTTCCCACTTTCTCTGGCTCTCTTTCCTTTATCCACCATTGCAGTTCCCCCATCCCCAAATACATCTCCTGCATGTCTATTCCTATCTTGCGTCTGCTTTTCTAGGGACCCAAACTAACACATTCCCACGTATAGCTCCTCTTCTACATAACCCTTATGCAAAAATTAATTAGATTTTCCTGAACCTGTCGTGTTCTTTCTCTTCTTGGATCTTTGAAGAAGTAATTTTCTCTGCTGAAACACCTTGACATCTCATATCCAACTGGCAAATTCGTCATCGTTTCTCAATATATAACTTCAGTTCTTTAACTACTTGTAAGTATTTGTACAATTTCATTGCAAGCATAGACTTTATCTTGTATTGCTTGGTATCTGTCAGACTCTGGCACTATGGTAAACACACAATAAGTACTTTGTAAAGTCTTTTTTTTATCGATTCTATTAAACTGTAGAAGTAAATATATCTTAATTTTTAGTAAAATCATTACTTGCATTTATTTTACCAGAAGTCTATTTCCCAAGGGAAAAGCAAGTGAAATTTTCTTGTATGCTTGAGCCTAATGGAGAATATTCAATTTTCCAAAGTAAGAGTAACATTTATATAGTGTTTACAGAGTAAGAATGCACTTAAGTATACATTTACATCATTTTCAATGACAGGCATGGAATCCCACAATTAGGCTATCTTCTAAATTATTTAAGCTGGACACATAGGTTGTTTCTAATGTTTTGCTAACACAGATAATGTTACAATAAACATCCTTTAAAAGTGTTTACTTACATTTATTATTATTGCTATAGGCTTCTTGGGCTTTCATGCTACCACACTCTGTTGATTTTCCTATTATTATTCTGACTGTTTCTTCTAGTTTTATTCTGCTGGCTCCTCTTCACCTGCTTGACACCATTCATATACCTGAGTTCTCATATATAGGTGTGCTTTATGTTCATTCTATATATTCTCCATATAAGGATCCTGACCCACCCCCGATTCCCTGCCAGTCATGCCCTCAATTACCATCTTTTCACTAAATCCATTGTTTGACCAAATATCTTCCTGAATGACAGATGCTCTTATCTTACTATAGATATTGTATTATTTACATTCTTTGATTGCAAGCAACAGAAACTATGGCTCACTTAATCAAGAGGCAAGTTATTGGCAGGATGTTAGAATTCACAGAACTTGGAACTAGGCAAGAATTAAGAGGATAAATGATGCAATTATTCTGTAGCAAGAACTCTGCTACATTTTAGTCTCTCCATTAAAGATTCACATGCTTGAATGGTATCTGATTGCCCTCCCTAGGATCACCTGCCTCCTCTGTAATTAGTGAGGCAGGTTTTTGATGACGATTGTAATGGATTTTGTCTACTGATGTAGAGAAAACCCCAGATGTTATAAGAAGTAAGAAATTGATGTTAGGTAGTCAGAAACCAAACCAAACTAAACCTAAACCAAAATAACAAATTAACAGATGTTAATTTCTTTCCCTAGAGCACTTAAAATTCCATCTTCTTAAAAGGGAAGTCATAGTTTCCCCCAATAAACCCTCTTCTCTTCTACAGTCTTATATTTCACTAAACGGTATCCCTACTTATCCAGAGACTTAAGCCAGAAGCCTGGAAGTTCTTCTTGACGCCTTCCTCTTTATTACCCCCTGCTTCTTGATCAATCATTAATTCTATCATTCCCACCATCTAAATAACTCCCCGATCCATCTTTGTCTCTCATTTCCACTGCCACCACCCTAGGTAGGCCAAGTAATTGTTTTTCATCTCAATAACCAAAAGTCTCCAAGTGGCATATTCTGTTATTCTCTAATCATACTGCAATTGGAGTAATTTTATAAATGAAAATACAATTCCATCAGAACTTCTCTAGAAAGGTTGTATTAATTTTTATTTAATAGCAATGTATATGGGCCTCTAAGTCCCCATATTCTTTGGATTACTGTGTATTATTAAAAAAAAAACTTTGCCAAGTAGATTAGTAAAGACTTCCGTCAATTGTTTTAATATAAATTTCTCTAATTATTAGTGAGATTGATGTTTTTCTCATATAATTCTTGATTAGCTATACTACTTCTTTTGTGTCTTGCATCTTCATGCCCTTTGTCTGATTATTTGTTGCAATATTTACATTTGTATTGATTTAGAATAGTTTTGGGGGTATTTATATTTTTATTGACTTAGGATAGTTTTTTTCTTTTTTAAGAATATCAACTATTAAGCTGGGTGCAGTGGTGTATGCCTGTGGTCCCAGCTACTCAGGAGACTGAGGTGGGAGGGTTCCTTGAGCCCAGGAGTTTTAGTCCAGTCTGGGCAACATAGAGAGACCCAGTCCCTAGGGAAAAAAAAAAAAAGAATACTAACTCCTTCTTGGCCATATTTGTTGCAAATAATTCCCTTTTTTGACTTTTAGTACTATTTTCTGGGCAAAAAGTTCTTATATTTTATATAGTAAAAAATTTAAGCGTTAAATCTGTCAATTTTGCTTTACGCATTGTGCTTTTGATATCATGTTTTAATATCATGGTAAGAAAGGCCAACCTACTCACAAGATTATGTACAAATTCAGTATGTTTTTCTTTGATCTTTTTAGGGTTTCAATTTTTACGTTAAATTCTGTCCCATCTGGCTATTTGGAGTGTGTCTGTGTGTTTCTGGTTTGGTGTAGAGAACTCATTTTTTTTTTTTTTTAAAGAGTAACTATTGAGATGCTTTAACTGAATTTATGAAAGAATACATTGTTTCTTCAGAGTTGAAATATATGGCCACTTTTATCATATACACAATTGTTACATATTATTCACTTGTTTCCGAATAATCAAAAATTCCAAAGTATTATTCAACCGTATTATTCATTTTATTTCTCAGATTTGTATCTGCATAATCTTTGGATGCTTTTTAATGAAGATTTTAGCAAGAATTTGTTATAGGAGATTTTATTTTATTTATTTTTTTTGAGATCGGGCCTTGTTTTGTTGCCCAGGCTGGAGTGCACCGACCTCCTTGGTGTTTCTAGAACAGTCCAGGCATGCTTTCACTTCTGCCTGGAACATACTTATCTCAGGTACCCACATAGCTGGATCCCTTATCATCTTAATTATTCGCTTGATCATGGCTTGCTGCAGCTTCAACCTCCTAGCCTCAGCCTTAAGTAGGTGGGATTACAGATGCATGCCACCACATTCGTCTAATTAAAAAAAAAATTGTTTTGGGGGATGGAGCCTGACTTCATTACCCAAGCTGGTTTCAAACTTCTGGGCTCAGGGATCCTCCCACCTTGGTCTCCCAAAATGCTGGGATTATAGGAAATTTTAAAAGATAGATAATCAAAATGTTTTTAGTGATGGCAGGATAGTGGTAGTAGGTACATAAATTGTTATTATTGAAAGGATAGCACCCACACAGTTTCATAAATATAGCTTCATAGTAATAAAAAATACGTGTTTAAGAGAAATTTTACTCTTTGAACCACTTTTGTTAAGTTTTGACTAGCTCATAATTGCTTCACAAAACCTTTTGTTTTGAGTTAGTCAAAACTTTAGAGTGGTTTAAAGAGTAAAATTTCAGATTAAATATGTGGCTTGATTGTATTGATCGCTTTCTGCCGCTGCCCCCACCCCTTCCCATGTATGGACATATTTTCCTGTTTCTTTGCATGTTCATTAACTTTTGGTTGAAAACTGGACATTGCAGGTAATTTGTTGTAGTGACTGTATTCTGTTTTTTTCAGAAGATTGTTGGGTTTTTATTCTAGTAGACAAGTTACTTTACCTGGATTCAATACTACACACTTTGTCTCCCCTGTGGTATGCAGCATGTGATATTTCTGCTTTGTCCTTAAAGTTTCTAGCTGCTGATTTTTTTTTTTTTCTTAGCTTGGCCACTGGGAAGTTTCTCCTATGTTTAAATGGTCTGATTCTTCTCTTCCTTTTCAACTTTGCCTCAAAGTAAACTTATTATAAAACAAAAGTTATTTATTCGACAAATATTTACTTATTGAAGGCCTACCGTGTGCCAGACACTTAGGACACACTAATAAACAGAATAGAAAAAAAAAAGGACAAAAATTCTACCTCTGTGGAACTTAAGTTGTAATCGGGAGAGAAAGACAATAAATAGCAAACGATGTATAAGTTAAAAAAGTATGTAAGACAATGATATGGTAAGTGCAGTGGAATACAATTATGCAGAGTAAGAGGCATCTGGAATGTGTATGGGGGTAGCCAGTGAGTTGCAGTTTTAAATATTTGTGATGGAGAGGCATGGTGGCTTATGCCCGTAATTGCAGCATTTTGTGGGGCGGAGGCGAGTGGAATTGCTTAAGCTCAGGAGTTCGAGATCAGCCTGGGCAACAAGGTGACATCCCATCTCTACCAAAGATACAAAAATTAACCATGAATGGTGGCATGTGCCTGTGGTCCCATCTACTCGGGAGGCTGAGGTGGGAGGATCACTTGAACCTGGGAGGTGAAGGTTGCAGTGAACTGAGATCTCACCACTGTACTTCAGCCTCGGTGATGGTGAGATCTGGCCTCAAAAAAACAAAAATAATTATAATGTCAACCTCCAAATTGCCCAACAAAATTTAATATTGGACTTCAATGGCCCACATGGTCTGGTTCCTATAATCTCAGCTGCCTCATTTTGCAGTAGTCTTCTCCCCTGTCCCTCTATCTGGCCACAGCAACCTCCTTGGTGTTTCTAAAACAGTTCAGGCATGCTTTCACTTCTGCCTCGAGCACACTTATCTCAGATACCCACATAGCTGGATCCCTTATCATCTTAATTATTTTCAAATGTCACCTTGTCAGTGAGGCCATCTCCAGCCACCTTATTTAAAATTGCTTTATATCTCCTATAGCCTTCCTTCCATCTCTCTTATTTGATATCTTCTCTCCAATAGCATGTATAAGTATATGTAATATATTGTGTAATATATTTATTTGTTTATTGTCTGTCTCTCTCCCATGGAATGTAAATTTTATGAGGGCACTGCTCTACCATGTCTGGAACTTACGAGGTACTCCGTACATACTTGTTGAAAGGATAATAAATGAGAGTCTGAGTCTGGATCAAAGTGGAGAACCTGAAAGGCAGTAGCAGATGGAACCAGGCCTTGTGTGACTTCAGACCTATAAGATAAAATTGTTTTAGATATTCTCCTTAAGTTCATATACATTTGATCACTTTCTGTTTTCTGAAGAAATTCTTGATACCAGACAATGACTGTAAATAGCCGTGGCCACTTTAATGGTTACGATGTCTCCTCACTTTGGCCTGTGGTATCTCAGGGACCAGTATATTGTGACTTGCTAAGAGATCTCATAATGTATATTTAAAGAACTAGGAAGATTTTTTTGATTTCATAATCATAGAAAAGAGATTGCACCAATTACTATTGTCTCTCCCAAGTTAAGATTACTAGCATTGGAGTTATGTTTATACCTGCACATGTTGATTTCACCATTTTTCATTAACTATGAAATTTTTGTTTTGAAATTCATCATAGCAGAAAGACAAAAATACACATACTATAGAATCTTTATTGTAGGTGCAATTTTCTTTCCCAAGGCAGCATTATTACTAGCATTGAAATTATGTTTCTTTTTTATGTTTATGCCCACACGTTTTTATCATTTTTTTACTAGCCATGAAATTTTGATTTTGAAATTTATCACAGCAGAAAAATGGATGTTCACACATTATAATATCTCAGTTGTAATCAGCTGAGCATTGGTATAAGCCATGACTTCCAAATGTTGGGAACAGATGCTCTATGCTAATTTTTATTCCTCTTATCTCCTGTGGAGAAGATTAGGTTGTTATGCAGAAAATGTGGGTCACCCTTTTAGGCATGAAATAGAATGGATTGCTCTACCATAAACATGATGAATGCTTATACAAGATATGGCTGCCATAATTTATGCTGTACCTGTAAAGTTTCTCTTTAGAGCATATTAAAATTCCACTATTCCTGTCAGACAGTATTTTAAATATCATTATATAAGATATGTAGCTTATGTTTTGTGCATTTCCTTTACTTACATCCTAGCTGGTCTATCCCATAAATTAAGAACTTTAAATATGCCATTTAGAAAATGTATCTGATCCTCATGATTTCTGCGATATTAGCTGGCTTTCTAAGGATTTTGTTTCCTAAGTCACTGACCCCTGGAATCTTCTAAATGAATACTATTACTACAAGTGTTTAAATTCTTTTGGCATGGGCATTAATATCAAAGACATTATTTTGGTTTTCCATGCTTTTTATAATAACACATCAGAGTTATGATTGGTGCATTCCCTATATTGCATTTTTCAAAATGGTTCTCTCTTTTCATTGATTTACTTGACTATATGCTTGTTTGCAGTTTTCATTACTATTCCATCTGGGTGGGCCAATTAAGAAAGGTAAATTTGCATTTTAGCCCTTAACAGTAACAAATCAGGGCATTATTTATAAATATGTTTAAGTTGAACCTACACATCAGTGTTGATAAGGGTCAGTCTCTAGAAAGCCATTAGAGTGTTTTTTGAGTCTCTTTATACTGCAGCTTAGCACATTGGAAGATGAGAACCATTTATCAGTACTGATATATTGAGTTGTTAGAGGTTTATATACCTGGCAGAAAGAGCTTTCTATTGGAAAGCTTGGTATTTGTGAAAGATGACATTCATCATCCATATGTTCAGCAAATATTTATTAAGAACTTCTGATATGCTTGGTAATGGTCTAGTGACTGATAATTCAAGAAATAAAATCTTGGCTACTATGGAGCTAATAGGTGAAGACAATAACCAAAGAACATATAAGTATATGATAACTCTGGTAGCAATAAGTGTTATAAAAATACTAGTACAAGCATAGCGTGACTGGGACTACTTTTGATGGAGTACCAGAGAAAGCTTTTTGAGCAAATGGCATTAAGGCTGAGGTTTAAAAATAAGGAAAATAAGGGGTGTGAAAATCCAAGAAAATAGTGGTGTGGCTGGATTAAGGAAGTGAATAGTAGAAAATCAGGTTGGAGATTCAGGCAAGGGCCAAATCATGGGGGCCTTGGGAGCCATTGCAAGGAATTAGTCTTTTATTTTCATTGTAATTGAAGCCATTGGGGAGTTTTAAGCAAGGAGAGATACATAATCTAATGAATTCTAAAAACATCACTCTGGCTTCGATGGGGAAAATGGAGAGAGGGTAGTGTGGATACCTTGGAAACTTACTTTTCTGCATCACCAGGGAAAACAGGCAGGCACATGGATGAGCATGACAGTGTATTAGTCTGTTCTCACGCTGCTAATAAAGAAATATCTGGAACTGGGTAATTTATGAAGGAAAGAGGTTTAATGGACTCACAGTTCCACACAGCTGGGGAGGCCTCACAAACATGGCAGAAGGTGAAGGAGGAGCAAAGGCATGTCTTACATGGCAGTGGGCAACGGAGGCTGTGCAGGGGAACTGCCTGTTTATAAAAAAATCAGATCTAGGCTGGGCGCAGTGGCTCACACCTTCAGCACTTTAGGAGGCTGAAGCAGGTGGATCACCTGAGGTCAGGAGTTCAAGACTAGCCTGGTCAATGTGGTGACACCCTGGCTCTACAAAAATACAAAAATTAGCTGGGCATGGTGGCACATGCCTGTAATCTCAGCTACTCAGGAGGCTGAGGCAGGAGAATCACTACTGCCCGGGAGGCAGTAGTTTCAGTGAGCTGAGATCCTGCCACTGCCCTCTAGCTTGAGACACAGAGCAAGACTCTGTCTCAAAAAAATTAATAGTAATAATGGTCAGATCTCATGAGACTTACTCACTATCACAAGAACAGCATGGGCAAAACCTGCCCTCATGATTCAATTACCTCCCACCAGGTCCCTCCCACTACATGTGGGGGATTATGGGAGCTACAATTCAAGATGAGATTTGGGTGGAGACACAGCCAAACTATATGAGATGGTTATCTTACCTCTTTGTATACTTGAAAATCTGAAAATGTCATTTCAGCTGGCACTTGAGGCTTCTGGAGCATATTAGGTTTATGCTAAACACACACACACACACACACACACACACACACACACACACACACACACTGTATTTGATGAAAGTCTGAAGTTCTTTATAATGTAACTCTGTTTGATGCCTTCAGTCACTTTTCTAGTCTCCTGTCAGCCTTGTCCTTGAGGTTTCTTATTCCTCTATAAATCATCTACATCAGAAAACATTTTTCTTTTTAAGATTTCCCCCTTTTAAAGATATTCTGTCTGAAGTCTGTTTGTCAGATTAAATCTCCTAAATGAGAATAGGTAAAGGGGAAAATAAGAAATAAAATGTAATGCATAAAGCCAAATAAACCAAGTTAAAGAAAAACCAGAGCTTCACAGTAAAGTGATAAAACCAGATTTTATTCAGGAACTATTGCAATAGGAGAAAAGAGACCTAAGTATAGAACTAGACTCAATTCTGAATACAGCAAGGACAAGTGAGGATTTATAGTCAAGGAGCAGGGTGGGGTCATTGAAAGGAAAATTACTAAGAGGAAATATTGGGGTAAAGGGGGATTCTGGTTAAACTGACTTGACAAGATTCTTGCCGAAGGCAGGCTGGGCGGGGGTCCAGTTATCCCCTGGGGGAATGTCTGGGAAAAGAAATTTGATTTTATCGAGTGATCAAAAATGGAGGGTGGGGGATTCTTTCTGAACTGACTTAACAGGATTCTTGCTGAAATTGGGTGATCCAGGCCCATCAATGATGTCCACTGAAGCCCAAAGTCAAAGCTTACTTGAAAAGAAGGTTTAGAAACCTGACTAATGTTTGGTCAACAAGAACATCTTTGAAATCAGGAAGGAACATATATATATATATTGCTACCGTTTTTCTGTTAACATGATAGGGCCAGACTAATCACTTGCAGACTGCAGCTTCCAGGGAAAATCATGATACAATTTTTATTCAGAGGAAATGCATTAAGTGAATTTTAAGGGCAGTTTTCAGGGGAAAAGAGGGAGACAAAATGTTATAGGAAAGCCACATCCAGTTTTTTGGAAGGATATATAAAAAACAGAAGCAATTAAACCAGTTATATCTTCAATATATTGATAATCTGAGATGCGGTGGATAGTTATGTAAGTATTTTCAGCACCACTAAGTGCTCCATTTATTCTAGGAAAATGAACTATGGTGTCTACTGCATTCACAACCTTTGCAACAACTCTACTCATGCACTTCATTGCCATACTCACAGAAAATGCAAAAAAGATGAGCCAAAAAGTCATATTTTATATCTATGACCCTGCCCCCTTTGCTACAGATATTGGATTGTAAGCACTTGATCAAATGGTAGCCAATGCCTAGATTATTTGTTATCTATGACATGCATGGCTTTGCATGAAATGATGATCTGAGCTAATCACATTCTTACTCTCATTGACATGAATTGAGGAAAGAGAGGAGCAGGCAATTAATAGTAGATTTGAAGCTGAAGGTTACATGCAGAGAATCCCTTGACATGGATTTGGAACCATGTATAAGGAATTAAGTTTAGGCCTGTGAAAGGTCAGCACTATCTGAGTTATAATCAGAAGCTATCAGGGAGAGAAAACATCTAGAATACAGAGAGAAAAAAATAAACTAAATGGTGTGGTAGGTAAAAGATAGCTACAAATTATTTGACACTTTTTCTTCCCCAAAAGTGGGGTACTATTTCTTTTTCCTGTTAATCTGAGTGGGTTTTTTTTTTTAATTTTTTGGTTGCTTGACCAATAGAATACAGTGGAAGTGACCCTGTGCCATTTTGGAATCTCAAGAGATTGTTTGCTTTCAATTCCTGTCTCTGAATATTTGTGCTAGAAACCAAGCCAATTGGCTATGCTTCTCTATGAGAAGACACATACGGAGGTGGAGAACTAAGGCCTCTCACCAACAGCCTGGGATGAACTCCTAGTCAACGGCAGCACCGATTTGCCAGGCATGTGAGTCAGCCCTCTGGAAAGCAGATTCTGCAGATGCAGTTGAGCTGCCCTAGCTGACACCACATGGAACAGAACCGAGCCATCCGCATCCAGCCTGGCCAAATTGTGGGCTCATGGGAAAAATCGATGACTGTTGTTTATTTTTACTTCTTATTATTTTTTAATTGTGGTGAAATACACATAAAATTTACTATCTGAACCAGTTTAAAGTATACCATTCAGTGGCATGCAGTACATTCACATTGATGTGTGACCATTACTACTATTCACCTTCAGAACTGTTTGGTTTATGAAACTGAAATTCTATACCCATTAAACAACTCTCCATTCCCCTCTTCCCCCAACCCCTGGCAGCTACCATTCTAATTTCTATCTATATGAATTTGATTACTCTAGTTACCTCATTAAGTGGAATCATACAGTATTTGTCTTTTTATGACTGGCTTATTTCACTTAGCACAATGTCCTCAAGATTCATCTATGCAGCAGCATGTGTTGGAATTTCCTTCTTTTTTCAGACTTCATTGTATGTATATAACACGTTTTTTTTTTTTTGAGACAGGGTCTCACTCTGTCACCCAGGCTGGAGTGCAGTGGTGCAATCATGGCTCATTGCAGCCTTGACCTCCTTGGTTGAAGTGATCCTCCCACCTAAGCCTTCTCAGTAGCTGGAACCACAGCCATGTGCCACTGGGTTCACCTAATTGTTTTTTGTAGAGACAGGGTCCCACTTCATTGCCCAGGCTGGTTATGAACTCCTGGCCTCAAGCAATCCTCCCATCTTGGCCTTTTAAAGTGTTGGGATTACAGGCATGAGCCACTTTTCTTGGCCTATACCACATTGTAAAAATATAACACATTTTGTTTATTCATTCATCCAAAGATGGATACTTGGGTTGCTTCCATTTTTTGGCTCTTGTGAATAATGTTGCTGCAAACATGGATGTACAAATATCTGCCTGAGTCCCTGCTTTCAATATTTTTGGATATACATACCCAGAAATTGATTTGTTTGATCATAAAGCAATTCTGTTTTTGATTTTTTAAGGAGTTGCCAGGTTGTTTTCCACAGTGACTGTACCGATGTACATTTCCACTACAGTGTACTATTGCTCAAATTTCTCTATCACTTCACTAACACTTGTTGTTTCCTGTTTCTGTTTTTTGAGGGTAGCTATCGAATGAGTGTGAAGTAGTATCCCATTGTGATTTTGATTTGCATTTCCCTAATGATTAGTAATGTTGAGCCTCTTTTTATGTGCTTATTGGCCATTTGTGTATTTTCTTTGGAGAAATGACAATTCAAGTCCTTTGTCCATTTTTTAATCAGGTTGATTTTTTGGGGGAGGTTGCGGTTCTTGATATGTAGGAATTCTTCATATGTTCTAGATATTAAGCCCCTATAGATACTAAGATTTGCAAATGTTTTATTTCATTCCATGGATTTGCCTTTTCACTCTGGTGTGTCCTTTGATGCACAGACATTTTACATTTTGTTGTAGTTCAGTTCATCTATTTTTCCTTTTGTTGCCTGTGCTTTTGGTGTCATATCAGAGAAATCATTGCCAAATCTTGTTGGTGTTTTCTTAGTCCTCTGAATTTTGGCATGGTTTGTACATTGCAATAGATAATCAACAATGAGGCATGAGAAATAAGCAGATATGCCACTACAAAGATATCATGAATCTTAAGAGAGATAGAGAGAAGAAGTATTTCTTAGAACTATGGTGGACCCAGGCCAGGTGCAGTGGCTCACGTACTTTGGGAGGCTGAGGCGGGCAGATCACAAGGTCAGGAGATCAAGACCATCCTGGCTAACACGGTGAAACCCTGTCTCTACTGAAAAAACACAAAAAAATTAGCCAGGTGTGGTGGCGGGGACCTGTAGTCCCAGCTACTCGGGAGGCTGAGGCAGGAGAATGGTGTGAACCCGGGAGGCGGAGCTTGCAGTGAGCCGAGATTGCGCCACTGCACTCCAGCCTGGGCGACAGAGCGAGACTCTGTCCCAAAAACAAAAACAAAAACCACAAAGAACTATGGTGGACCCACTCCCCGTAAAGCCTGGTTGTATCATGGTTCCAGTTAATAAATTTCTCTAATACTTTTATCATCCTTAATATCTTATATAAACCCTTAAAATAAATCAGAATGAGTCACTTTTCCGTGTTACCAGAAGAGACCAAATCAGCATGAGTTCTTCCTCTTTCTTTGAGTAGTTGTGCAGTTTCAGTCACCTGGAACTACCAATAACTCGTTTCCCAAAGGGTGGAATGCTACAATGGCATGGACTGTGGTGCTAAAATGCCACATGCAAGACAGCTATTAGATGGGGTCAGTGATGCTTCAGACTCAAGGCAGTATTTGAAATTAGCTATTTAGCCCACTTCCATGTTTATTTACTCAATTACGATGGCTGTGGAAAATGTTGTCTCATTTTGACCACACATGCTGCCTCAGAATCTTAAATTTAATTTGTGGAATGAGACAACATAATATCTAGTGAAAATATTTCAGTTGCTATACTTTTCAAATTTTTGATCTAGAAAATTTACATTTGTATGTTAAGTCATTTGTTTTCTATGTATATTATACTAAAGGGATTGGTTACTTTTGACTAGTTTTGGTATACCCATACAAAATAGACTGGTACTCCTTAGTTTAATTTATTTTCACTTTCCAGAAACAAAGTGGCAGTTGCAAAAATATTTAATGGGATTGAAAATTTAGTAAATTCCTAAAAGTTCAGATGTTCCAGAGCTTCATAACCCTGTATGTTCATAAATTAGTTTATTTTCAGATAAATCACCACTTAAAAATATGTGAAACATGGCCGGGTGCAGTGGCTCATGCCTGCAATCCCAGCACTTTGGGAGGCTGAGGCGAGCAGATCACTTGAGGTCAGGAGTTCGAGACCAGCCTGACCAACACGGTGAAGCCCCGTCTCTACTAAAATACAAAAATTAGTCAGGCGTCGTGGTGCGCGCCTGTAATTTCGGCTGCTCGTGAGGCTGAGGCAGGAAAATATCTTGAACCCAGGAGGTGGAGGTTGCAGTGAGCTGAGATCGTGCCATTGCATTCCAGCCTGGGAAACAGAGTAAGACTCCCTCTCAAAAATAAAATAAAATAAAATAAAATAAAATAAAATAAAATAAAATAAAATAAAATAAAAATACAAAACTTAATTTTCTGTGACTCTTACTGGACTTTTGATTTGTATGTGATTGTTTCAAGATTCACAAGCTAACAGAAAAATTGCTTTTAACTATTAGCTCTAAGCTCCTATTCTATCCAGCTTCTTATCAATAACAAAGTCTGTTATCTTCCATTTGTCCATATTCCTACCTTGAGTCTCGGAAGGGAAAAATGAGGAACATCAAAATAATTAGAAGATAGGGAAGAACACAAGGATTAAGACAGATAATTGTCATAACCAAACATTCATTCCTTAAATATTTAAGTTGTATATATGAAGGATCATGACCAATGTTAATATGTGAAGGAGATTTATGTGGGGAAATGTGTTTCTGTGTATTATACAGACTGTAGGAAAGTACAGCAACAGTTCTCTGTCTTCTTTTTGAGACACAGTCTTGCTCTGTCACCCAGGCTGGAGTGCAGTGGTGTGATCTTGGCTCACTGCATCCTCTGCCTCCCAGGTTCAAGTGATTCTGGTGCCTCAGCCTCTTGAGTAATTGGGAGTACAGGTGAACGCCACCATTCCTGGCTAATTTTTGTATTTTTGGCAGGGACGAGGGTTTCACCATGTTCACCAGGCTGGTCTCAAACTCCTGACCTCAAGTGCTTCACCCGCCTCAGCCTCCCAAAGTGCTGGGATTACAGATGTGAGCCACCTTGCCCGGCCCTAGAGTAATAGTTCTTAAGCACAGCTGCATAATATTAGCATTAACTGGGAAGCTTTTAAAATACCCGTGCTCAGATCCCACCTCATATCCTCAAGTCAGAATATCTGGAGATGAGATACCATCAAAGATATTTTTAAAAGTTCCCCAGATAATTCTACGAGCATGTGGAGTAGAGAACAACTGGACAGGAGAATAGGGTCTATATTTGTACATTTTACAAAAGGCTAACTACACTTCGAGTGCTCATCAAACATTAAGGACGCCTCTATTGAACTAGGTCTTTTAGTAACAGATGAAGCCTCAATTAGGTAGCTAGCCACTCTATTCTATAGTGCTCTCTGTTTTGAAGTTCACACAGATAAGATGAACGGTATCCATGACAACGGCAGATGTGATTCATCCCTTCCTTAGCTTTCAGTTCCTTTGGGACATTCTCTTCCCTAGGATGACATTTGGGGCAGCTCATATACTCACTCAGCCATCTGGCATAGCTGGTTATTTGAATACTTCTTCATCTAACACCTTTTTAACATTACAATCCTAAGGCTATGTCTTAGGCATGATATCAGTTCACATGCACTTTTAAAATATGTCACAACATTTGCATGGTTATTAATGGGCTCTTCAAACATTTAGTGAATATTTATTGAATGGCTAATAACTAAAGGTATATCCTTGCCCTCAAGACTCTTTTATTCTAAGTGCTAATATGAATACTCAATTTTACACCATCACATTTATTGTATAATTTAGGTTCTCATGCTTATATATAATACTGTATTAGTCAGGGTTCTCCAGCGAAACGGAACCAAAGAGGTTTATTATAAGCGATTGGCTCATGTGATTATGGAGGCTGGGAAATCCAAATCTGCAGTATGTGTGGCCTGGCAGGCTCGAGTCCCAGGAGAGTCTATGTTCCAGCTCAGGGTTGAAGGCTGGCTGGCCAGAGGCCCAGGAGATTCAATGGTGCAGATGAAGTCTGAAGGCAATCTGCTGGAAAATCCTTTATTTATTTATTTTTTTTTTTTGAGATGGAGTCTCTGTCTCCCAGGCTGGAGTGCAATGGCATGATCTTGGCTCACTGCAACCTCTGTCTCCTGGGTTTAAGCAATTCTTCTGCCTCAGCCTCCCAAGTAGCTTGGATTACAGGTGCACACCACCACATCTGGCTAATTTTTGTATTTTTAGTAGAGACGGGGTTTCACCATGTTGACCAGGCTAGTCTCAAACTCCCGACCTCAAGTGATCTAACTGCCTTGGCCTCCCAAAGTGCTGGGATTACAGGTTTGAGCCACTGTGCCTGGCCTCTGCTGGAAAATTCTCTCATGCATGGGGAGGCTGGTATTTTGTTCTATTTAGGCCTTCAACTGATTGGATGAGACCCACTCAAATTATGGAGGGCAATCTGCTTACTCAAAGGTCACTGATTTAAATGTGAATCTCATCCATAAATGCCCTCCAAGTTGATACATAAAATTAACTGATGACAATGATGATGATAATAGGTACTGATACAGCAGGAGTATCACCATCTTCGACAAGCACTGTCATTTTAAAATTCACCTCGATCAAAACCTGCCTAAATCCCATAAACCACAAATATCTCTGACCAGAAACATTCCAAACCCCTCCCCAACCACAGACATGCCAGCCCCAAGATAACATTCCCTCCACCCAAAGGCATTGCAACCCCACCATAAACTTCTCCCTGACACAGAAACATGCCAAGCTTGTGATAAGCCCCCTCACCCAAAAACCAATATATACTCTTAGTCTGTAAGACAGAATGCTCCTGACCGAAATCAGCCAGAAGCCCCCATCAGGTTGATTTCTCTAAAATAAACTTGTCCTTGACTGTTCAGTTGCATTTCGTGTTTCTTTCCTCTTTCTTTAACTCTTACAGGTACATGACATTTCTTATTTTTGTTTTTCAAGATCAGGTCTCGCTATGTTGACCAGGCTGGTCTCAAACTCCTGGCCTCAAGTGATCCTCCCATCTTGACCTCCCAAAGTGCTAGAATTATGGGCATGAGCCACTGCACTCAGCTAATAGGTACACTATATTGAGTGCTTACCATGTGCCAGACACTTTGCTACTTAGTTTGATCCTATGAGGAAACTACTGCCACTGTATTTATCATATAGATGAGGAAAATGAGACATAAAAATAGCTTGTCCAAGTCACAAAGCTAATAAGGTTAATCCTACAATTTAAACCCGGATCTACCTGGCTCATAGCCCTTGCCCTTAACCACCCCAAAGCTCCACAAATATTCTTTTGTGAGTTTTCTTTCTGTTGTCCTCTGACGTATACTGCTAAGGAGGAATGACACCCTGTTGCAACTTAGAAAGAAGAATTTTTTATAATTTGCAGTGTTTCATTTAATATTGACTTGAAATGCTGTGGGCAACTGCATTTTAATGGGTTAAATTCAGAGCAAAGATCTGTCTTCATCTACTGGAAAAATTTCATTAGAATTAAATGTGCCTCTGCTTCTTACTATTTAAAATGGAGATACTGCTCACTAATGGTTTGTAAAGTGTTTTGAGATCTCCACATGAAAAAACTCCAAGTAGAGATGTCATTATGCTGATATAAATAATTAAGTCAATTAACTTTAATCCCTTTGAATAATGTAAAATACGAATATAACTTCTTGGCTCTTCTAACTTAATTGCATAGGTAATATTATGAGTATAAAGGTGATGTTGTCAGGAGAGTTGGCTGAAAAGCAGTTAGAATGGAAGTAATGATCTTACCGTTCAAAAGAACTGAGAAAATCAGTCCCATATTTTCCTTCAGTACAGTACCCTCTTGTCTTTCATGTCCCTGGTTCACTCAGCATTTATTTTAATTAATTATTTAGTTAACTAGCAGTCACTCATTCAAAAAGTTTTGTTGAGCACTTCTAATGTGCGAGGTGGGTAACTAACATCTGTTTAGAACTTTATAAAGCAACTTCACATATATCTCATTTATCTTTGCTCCTGTTCTGAGATAGAGAGTATTAACTCTTTTGTCCATATACACTTATTATTTTTGTTCATTTTTCTACTTTTTCAAATGTTACTTTTGTTTCTGTATAATTGTTTCTATATAAACTGAAGATTAGGCTCCCTTCAGAGACAACTTAACTGCTGATTTCCAAAGTGTATAGCTTTTTTTTTGTTGAGATGGAGTCTTGCTCTTTCACCCAGGCTGAAGTGCAGTGGCATGATCTCAGCTTACTGCAACCTCTGCCTCCCAGGTTCAAGTGATTCTCCTGCCTCAGCCACCCAAGTAGCTGGAATTACAGGCATGTGCCACCACACCTGGCTAATTTTTGTATTTCTTTTAGTAGAGGCAGGGTTTCACCATGTTGGCCAGGCTGGTCTCAAACTCCTGACCTCAGGTGATCCAACTGCCTCAACCACCCAAAGTGCTGGGATTATAGGTGTGAGCCACTGCACCTGGCCTCAAAGTGTATAGTTTTCACTAGTATCTTGTTTTGCTTGGTCTTCCCATTTCAGTTAGCAAGAAAATCAGTATTATATTGGTTCTTACCATTTCCTTCAGAAAGTATCAATTATTAGATCAGAGTATCAGATTTTTGGAAAATTATTTGTGAGAAAATGTTATGTGATGGAAAGAAAAACTTAATTAAGCTTTACTTAGTGTGACTGGTGGATGGTGTCCAGGTTCTTTGGCATTTTGAATAAAGAATTGGACAAAATGCACAAATGAAGCAAGGAAAGAATGAAGCCACAAAAGCAGAGATTTATTCAAAAGGAAAGCACACTCCACAGGGCAGGAGTAGGCCTGAGCAAGTGGTTCAAGGGCCTGGTTACAGAATTTTCTGAGGTTTAAATATCCTCTAGAGCTTTCCCACTGGTTACTTGGTGTATACCCTATGTAAATGAAGAGGCTGAAGTGAAGTTACAAAGTGATTTACTTTGTGTACACCTTCTGCAAATAAAGAGGATGCTTCCTGTCATAGCTGACTTGATCTTAGAAAGTTGGGGATTATCTGTTTGATTTAGTTCTGGGAAGACCTTAGGTTCCCTGCCCCCAGACTCTACTCTCTTGCCTCATTAGTATTTAAGTGAAGTGTTTGACATGGTGCACTATTACATAAGAGAGGATAAAATTATAAAGGCATGGGAGAGAATATTTGAAAAAGGAATTCAAACCTGACCAGCTGTTTTAGTCTGTTCAGGCTGCCATAACAACAACCATAAACTAGGTGGTTTGTAAACAGCAGAAATGTATTTCCCATAGTTCTGAAGTCTGGAAAGTCCAAGATCAAGGTGACTGCTGATTTCCTTTGTGGTGGGGGCTTAATTTCTGTTTCATAGATTGTGCCTTCTAGCTGTGTTTTCACAAGGTGGAAGGGTCAAATGAGCTTCCTCAGGTCTCTTAGTCCATTTGTGTTGCTATAACAAAATATCACAGACTGGATAATTTATAAAGAACAGAAATTTATTTTCTCACAGTTCTGGAGGCTGGGAAGTTCAAGGTCACAGTTCTGGAGGCTGGGAAGACCAAGGCTGGTGTCTGATGAGGGCCTTCTTGCTGTGTCATCACATGGTAGAAGGCAGAAGGGCAAAAGGAATGAACTTCCTCTGACAAACCCATTTATAACTGCATTAACCCATTCTTGAGAATGGGGCCCTCATGATCCAAACACCTCCTGAAAGACCCTGCCTCCCAATACGGTTGCATTGAGGATTATGTCTCAACATGTGTTATGGGAAGTCAGGGACCCCGAACGGAGGGACCAGCTGAGGCAATGGCAGAAGAACATAAATTGTGAAGATTTCATGGACATTTATTAGTTCCCCAAATTAATACTTTTATAATTTCTTACACCTGTCTTTACTGCAATCTCTGAACATAAATTGTGAAGATTTCATGGACATTTATCACTTCCCTAATCAAAACTCTTGTGATTTCCCATGCCTGTCTTTAATCTCTTAATCCTGTCATCTTGGTAAGCTGAGGATGTATGTCGCCTCAGGACCCTGTGATGATTGCGTTAACTGCACAAATCATTCGTAAAGCGTGTGTATTTAAACAATATGAAATCTGGGCACCTTGGAAAAAGAACAGGATAACAGCGATGTTCAGGGAACAAGGGAGATAACCAATTAGGTCTGACTGCCTGAGAGCTGGGTGGAACAGAGCCATATTTCTCTTCTTACAAAAGTGAATAAGAGAAATATCACTGAATTCTTTTTCTCAGCAAGGAACAGCCCTGAGAAAGAGAATGCATTCCCAGGGGTAGGTCTCTAAAATGGCCACTCTGAGAATGTCTGTCTTATATAGTTGCAGATAAGGGATGAAATAAGCCCCAGTCTCCCATAGTGCTCCCAGGCCTATCAGGATGAGGAAATTCCCGCCTAGTAAATTTTAGACCGGTTATCTGCTCTCAAACCCTGTCTCCTGATAAGATGTTATCAATGACAATGCGTGCCCGAAACTTCATTAGCAATTTTAATTTCGCCCTGGTCGTCTGCTCTCAAACCCTGTCTCCTGATAAGATGTTATTAATGACAATGCGTGCCCGAATCTTCATTAGCAATTTTAATTTCAGCCCAGTCCTGTGATCTCGCTCTGTGCCCATTTGCCTTGTGATATTTTATTGCCTTGTGAAGCATGTGATCTCTGTGACCCACACCCTATTCGTACACTCCCTCCCCTTTTGAAAATCACTAAAAAAAATTTGCTGGTTTTGCAGCTTGGGGGGCATCACGGAACCTGCCGACATATGATGTCTCCCCCAGACACCCAGCTTTAAAATTTCTCTCTTTTGTACTCTTTCCCTTTATTTCTCAGACTGGCTGACACTTAGGGAAAATAGAAAAGAACCTATGTTGAATTATCGGGGGTGGTTCCCCTGATACACATGAATTTTTGGAGGGGACAAAAACGTTTAAACCATAGCAAGTACTAATCTCATATCATTCACGATCTAATCACCTCCCAAAAGTCCTATCTCCTAATAGCATCATCTTAGGAGCTAGACTTTCAACATATGAGTTTTGAGAGGAAACAAACATTCAGACCATAGCACCAGCCAATGCTTGCTTAACTTACACCCTATATATCACAAAAATAACAGTGTAAGTCCCCTTTCTGAAGTGGGTCTTCCTCTTCTCTTTAAAGAGAAATATTGTGTTCACCCTTTTCTACTAATCATATTATGCATTGTTTTGGAAAAGTCTACCAGTTAACTGCTGAAAATCATTTCCAAAATGCTGATTACAGATTGTAGAGTAATAAGTAATGAGATCATTATGACTATGGATATAGGAAGTTTCATTTAGTTCTTTACTCTAACAAGTTGGCTTCATTTATTAATAATTAACATCAATATTCCTGGAGCTTGAGCCTTTCTGCCTGTTTAAGGACTATATAGAGATAATTATCTTTTCATATTTTCCTGGGAAATTGGTGATCATAAACATTAAAATTAATTTATACATACAAAAATTTGCAGATCCTCAAATTTAATTTCTATTAAACATTTTAAAGTTAATGAGAAAACTTTTTCTTGGCCTTTGGGAAGAACATTTTCTGTATCTCCCACTTGCTTACCTACCCTTCTTTATTCTACAACAATGAGGGGGAAGTATTGAATGGGATTTATTAAGACATTATGCAAGTCACATTTCTAGGAGTGGTGCCATAGCAGAAGGGGTATAAATAAGATAATATATTCCCTTCCTCCCTTTCCTTAGCTTTCTCTAGAGCACTGACAAAATGGGATTTGAACTTGGCTTTGAAGTATAAAAAAACAGAGTGGACCTCCTAATTCAAGGCTTCTTAGGCCCATCTAATGTAAAAAGAGTTTTTCATTTGGTCTTAATCTAGAAAACTGGGATTTAACACTGAGATTTGTAGAAAGGCCTGGACATTAATAAAGCACAATTTTATTCTGGTTTATCATCTTGTACATGTATCTGCCTTGCAAATTATGGGGAGATATAAATTAAGGAATTGATATGTCCTAGCAAAGACACCCAAAATGCCATTTTAACTTCACTTTAATCACATCTGTTCAATTAAAACTTTTTCCTGGCCTCTTAATAAGCTGTCATACTAGGCACATCAAAGTAGTCTCAGATTAAGCCCGTTCTTCCATTTTCACTTCCAAGCCCAAATCACAGTCTTGAATTTTACTACTTTAGTTCAATGGAGAATCACACTTGTCTTCTTCATAGAAAAAAAGGATATGGGGAAGTACATGGGATTAGCAAAAACTTTACCCTTACGGTGATGAACCAGTAGCCTTGAATCTGACCTGAGAAATAGATAAAGGTGGAGGTAAAATGGGAAAGAAAAGGTTTTCCATGGGAGGCCAGCCTTCCTTACTGCAGATGTAGTCTGAATAACAATAACCAGTGCCTTCAATACACATAAATATTCAAAAGGATTACAACACTTATACTTGATTCCCTCCTCATACCTACTGCAAACCTGGCAAAAAGCACAATTACAAATATCAGTAAATAAAACAGTCAGTTAGCATGACAGATATACTCAGTGAAGAGCCTGAAATCTTAAGAACGAGTTTCTAATCTATCCTCCTATTTTAGAGAGAAGAAAAAAAGTTAGTCTATATTGCTCAATATTGACATTGCTGTTCTCTTCCTTCCCTTGACACCACTCCTTTATAGGAAACAATATCACCAAAAGGAAAATACCAAGTTAATTATTTAAATTTAAATACACTTAAGAAGATACAAAAAAAGAAATATTTGATAACATGTATTAAGCACCATCTATGTGCTATTCATTGTTAGACTAATTTAACTTTCATAACTCTGTGGCTAGCCACACTTGACAGATTAGGAAAATGGAGTTTTGAGATGTAAATATTTCAGAGGTCCTGTAGCTAGTAAGTGATGGCCCTAGGATTCCTTCTTGGGACTGTCAGACTCCAGATTCAGTCATCCCATTCTCTGTGCTATTCTTCCTCCATAATATGCATATACACTGTATAAACATGGTCTAATTTTTCTAGTTTAAAAAGATTTGATTCTGTTATAAAAATATTGTTATATTGAACATATGTCCCCCCGTTTATATTCCAATTATATGCTATTAATTAGAATTTATTATTATGGACTTATTCATATGATAAAATATTTTGAAAAATCTTTACAATTTTTTTTCCTACCGAGAAGAAATACCTACAGTTTCCTTGCTTAAATGTTTGCATACATCACTGTTCTATGATTGTTCTGTTTATCTTCTGAGGTACATAGTAGTTCTTAGATATTAATCTTTCATTAAATTTGAACCAGAAATAGGGACAGGTGAATATAAGATCTAAAGCTTAATGTCTCAATCTGAGACATAGTTTAATATGGCTGGAATAGAGAGGTAGCCATGAATGTGTAGAGAAATAAGTTATGGTTGAGAGGTTGATTGGGGCCAGTTTGTAATATGACCCACATACAAGCCTTGTTGGAAAAGTGCTGTTTTCAGCTGTCGAATACCCTAACCTTTGAAGCTTGTTTGTGCGAGGTGTAGTACCTGGCACATAGTGGATACTTATTAAACTTCGAAGGGAAACAAACTCCAGCAAGGCAGCAAAGTTTAATAGAACAGCATGAAGAATCACAGCCAAATTAATACATCAATATTCTTATTTTTAGCAGCACAACTAGTCTCAGGAAGAAAATGTAAGGGAATATTGGAGAATGACTAACTTTAAATTATATATTAATATAAGGAAGAATAAGGTTTCTGGAAAAATATTCAGTGCAATGCCTAGTATACAGGAAGTGATTCAATAAATGTTGAATAAATGAATGAAAAGTGTACATTGTGTGTGTTTGCTCACATTGATCATACAGGTAAATGGTAAACAGGTAAAACAAAAATGAATGAACATTTAATGCATTCAAATATATTCACATTAAAGTCAAAGTTTAACTTTAGAAAAACCTTATGAGAAGTCAAATTTAACAAAGCCTGTTCTTTATCTTTATCCACTGCTGTTAAGCCTTCTGACTGTTTCCTTGCGATGTCAAGTTCCCCTGTGCAATACTATAATAATTTAGGGAAGAAAATCTGAGAGGATGTTGAAAATAATGAGCATTTAACTGGATGTGAATCCAAGCATTCACAACAAGGGCCCAGGGGTAACATATGGAAAAGATTTAATGGAGAAGAGAAATGTAATGAAGATCCAAACAACAGAAAGATAACACTTTTTAGACTTCAGATCCTAAAATCTGAAATGCTGCTGAAGGTTTCTGGAACAGAGTGGCTTCTAGGACACCTGAACACTTCTGCTTTATTTGTTTGGTTTTGGGAAATATAAAAGCAACTGTGGGGTTATAAGGTGAGTATGACTTTGTAAACAATAATTTTAAACCATACTGTCCTTCTCCTCATTCCTACATGTTTGCATGATCTTACTCTATATGAACTCGCTCCTCTGTGGATGTCTCAAGCCAGCCCGCTTTAGAGATTGAGCCCAAAGTTAAATCTCACATGGGGAGAATTTTCTGTAGAATCATTACAAATATGGTAGAGAGTTTGCTTTTGTTAGAAAAATCAAACAAAAAGCTACATTTAAATTTTGCAAAGTCACTAATTTAATTCAGTTATGAAACTACATCATTCTATGGGGAAAAAAGTACTCAAATTCTCCATCAACAGCTTTTGATCTTTTGTGACTGCTTCAGTGTCACATTTTAAAATATCTGCCGGAGTTTTCTATTTAGGTGTTCTGTTAAAACCTTTCCTTTTTCTTCTGGGAGAGTTGACTCTCTCCCAGTCAACTGTCCTGATTAGTTCTGTGTGTCTCCTTCCTTTCTAAACATCTTGGTAAAATATTTTGAAATATTTTTCTCCTCTTTCTCCATTCAGAATCTATTACCTTGTCTTATTATTTCTCCTTTGAAAAATTAAAAATTAAATGCTTATAAATTAAATATAAATACTAAAATATCTCTACTCTTATTGTTCTAGTCTGAATTGTCCTCATAATTAATTGCTTATCCAAAATATTTTTCTGGAAAATGAAGGTTATACACAGGGCTATTGTAAGTTTAAAAAAATAATGTATGCACTCTTTTAGCATAAAGTAGATGCTTAGTAAATAATTCCCCCAATTTCCCTGTATAAAAATACTTTCCTGTACAAAAATTTTCATTGCTTTATTGCCTCTAGGATAAAATCCAGAAACTCAGACTGACAGTCAGGATTATGAGAGTCTGGTCCTATCTACCTATGCCAAATTATTTTATACTAATCTCTATTATTGAGTCATACTAATCTCTTTATGCCACTAATAGGCCATATTCATTCCAATGTCTTTGCTGACACTCCTGATCTTCATTTTTGGGGAATATTGCTTCTTTTGTTTAATGACATCCTCCAAGTTTCAAATCCAGTCTTGCCATCACTGTGGAACTTCCTTCAATTGTTCTAGGTGCAGGGATACAGCAATGAACAAGGTAGATAATGTCTCTGCTCTCACAATGCTTACAATCTAGCAAGAGAACAGATAATAACCAGATAAATAAAGGATTGACTATAACATGCATGAACTTTGAGGACATTATTCTAAGTGAAGTAAGTCAGTCCGAAAAAGACAAAGACTGCATAATTCCACTTAAAAGGGGAATTGTTCAATGGGTATAGAGTTTCAGTTTCACTAGACGAAAAAGTTCTGGAGATCTGTTGGACAACAATGTGTGTGTAGTTAATACGGTACACTTAAAAATGGTTAAGGTGGTAAATTTTATTTTGTGTGTATTTACCATAATAAAAATTGAGATAATCCTAGCTAATTATGAATACTATTAAGAAAATAAAGGAGGATATAATAAGATGAAGCACCACTGAGAGGAAATGCTATATTAGAAAGTGCCTTGGAAGGGGTGACCTTTGAGTTGAAACCTGAGTGATGAAATAGATTAGTCATGAGCGTCAGAAGGAATAGTAAGTACAAAAGTCAAGAGACCAAAACAGATTTGGTCTATTCAAGGAAGATGAGGAAGTCAGCATTCCAAGGGCATGCAGTGGACTTGCTGAGGAAGGCAGACACTAGATTCCCTAGGGTCTGTGGGCTAGGAAAAGGAGATTGAATTTTATTTCAGTTCAATTCATTGGAGGATTATAAGCAGTGGATGATGTGATCTGGTTTACAGTTTTAAAAAAGTGAGCTAGCTGTCATATGCAAACAGACTCATGGAGGCAAATATGGAAGTTGAAACACCAATTAGAAAGCACACTGGAATGCAGAGGATGCTAATTTGGACTAGAGCTGAGAAGGACTGAGATGGTCTGACCTCAGATATACTTGGAGGTAATGACAATGAATTTGTAGCTGTATTGAATGTGGGAGACATATAATGAATAATCAAGGATGACGTCTATGTTATTGGCCTGGACAACTAAGTGAAAACTCAGAGAAGAATCGGTATAAGGGAGTCAATAGTTAAGGGTTCAGTTTTGGCCATGTTGAGGTTTTTGTTTTTATTTTTTAAAACTGTATTGAAATATAATCATATAAAATAAAATTTACATATTTAAAGTGCACAATTCAATAATTTTTTAGTATAGTCACAGTGTCATGCAACTATCACCACAATCTATATTTAGAACATTTCAATCACTTCAAAAGAAACTTGTACTTATTTCCCTGCTCCTAGCCACCCTGCTTTCTGTCTCTATAGATTTCTCCACTTTTGGCATCTTATATGAAGAAATGCTGTGATATATGGAATTTTATGAGTGGATTCTTTGATTTAACTTAATGTTTGCATGGTTCATACATGCTGTGGCATGTATCAATCAGATGCTTCCACTTTTTGGCTATTATAAATATTTGTATTGCTTCCACTTTTTGGCTATTATAAATAATGCTGCTATGAATGTTTGTGTGCAAGTTTTTGCATGAATATATGCTGTCTTTACTCTTCTATATGTAACCAAAAGTGGAATTGGTGGGTTGTATAGTAACTCTACGTTTAGTATTTTGAGGAGCTGCCAAACTTTCCAAAGTGGCTTCACCATTTAAATTCCCACCAGCAATGAATAGGAGTTTCAATTCCTCCATATCCTTGCCAACATTTGTTATTGTCTATATTTTTTATTATAGTCATCTTAGTGAGTGTGAAGTGGTAGGTCATTGTGGTTTCGATTTGCATTTCCCTAATACTATGTTGTTGAGCATCTTTTCATGTGCTTGTAGTTCATTTGTATAAATTCCTTGGAAAAATGTCTATTCATATTCTTTGCTCATTTTTAAACTGTTTTTTTTTTTTTTTTTGAGATGGAGTCTTACTCTGTCTCCCAGGCTGGAGTGCAGTGGCATGATCTTGGCTTACTGTAACCTCTATCTCCCAGGTTCAAGCAATTCTCCTGCCTCAGCCTCCTGAGTACCTGGGATTACAGGTGCGTGCCATCACACCTGGCTAATTTTTGTGTTTTGAGTAGAGACGGGGTTTCACCATCTTAGCAAGTCTGGTCTTGAACTCCTGACCTCAGGCAATCCACCTGCCTTGGCCTCCCAAAGTGCTGGGATTACAGGTGTGAGCCACCATGCCCGACCAAACATGTTTTTTTAATTGTTGAGTTGTATGACTTCTTTACATATTCTGAATACAAGACCTCTTTGTCAGGTATATGATTTGTAAATATTTTCTTCTGTTCTTTGGATTGTATTCACCTGTTTTGATGTTATTGTTTGCACTACAAAAGCTTTTGATTTTAATGTAGTCCAATTTGTCTATTTTTTCTTTTGTCACTTTTTCTTTTAATGTCATGTCTAAGAAATGGCCAGGTGAAATTTTAGCTACCTATTAGACATCGAAGACTAGCAAGTAGTTGTACATGAATCTAGATTTCAGAGGAGAAATTAAACTGCATGGAAATTAGGGAGTATAGACCGTATTTAAGCCCTTGGACTTGATGAGATCACTCAGAGAGAGACAGAGAGGAAGACTAGAAATAGATGAGTCTCGAAGGATATAATTTATAATTATTACACATAACTCTGGGATTCATTGTATGCCCCGGGGTACTGGAGTAACACCAATAGAGACTTTAAGTAGCTGAATAAACACTAAAATTGTCCCATTTCGGGAAGGGCAGATACCTCCCTGGAAGAGCTTATGAGATGGTGCCCATTCTGTGGCCACTATAACAAGATAGACCTTTCAGAAATACACTGAAATGGAATTTGCTCTACATGTTCTTAACTTTCTAGGAAGCCTCCAACATCAGGCTTATTCCTTGATGATTCTAAGATGTGTATACTGAGCTGGGTGTGGTGGCTTACGCCTGTAATCCCAGCACTTTGGGAGACCGAGGCAGGAGGATTGCCTGAGCTCAGGAGTTCGAGACCAGCCTGACCAACATGGTGAAACCTACTGAATATACAAAAATTAGCCAGGCATGGTGGTGAGCACCTGTAATCCCAGCTACTCAGGAGGCTAAGGCAGGAGAATTGCTTGAACCTGGGAATCAGAGATTGCAGTGAGCTGAGATCACGCCACTGCACTCTAGCCTGGGTGAAAGAGTGAGACTCTGTCTCAAGAAAAAAAGAAAAAAAAAAAAGATGTGTATACTGGCCAAAGTGGCAAACAGAAAACATTCCAGCATGTTTAAGATAACAAAGAATTTAGTAGAGAAAATTGGTAGTTCAGAGAATCCTTATCAGGGGTGAAGAAATAGGCATCAGGCTAAATTAGTGGGTACCATGTCCAGCAGCAGCCATACACTGGCCTGATGAGCAAACTGTTGCTGCTGCCTCTGACTCCAGAAGCATTCCACAGGACTCTCCTACCGTGGAAACTGCCACCACCACTGCTGCCACAACCCAGACTTCAGATGTCAGGAACTCCACTTCTGTAAAACTGCTATAGATGCCATGTGCTCAATTAACTTTACTGTAATTTCTACTGCTACCCCTTAAAGCAAGATACTCAGCTGTCACCTGAACCAGGAAAATAGACACCCAACATTTAGCCTGTTTTCTTATATTATGATTTGAAATCTCATGTGAGTGTGTCTGATTGGTGGAACCAATTTGCTTGCATCCTAGATGCCAAGAATGGTGGGAAAATGGGTTTTCTGAATTTTATCTTGGGAATACAAAATGCCCAATGGAGAAACTCATAAAATGTACAGGACATTCAAAAGATAATGGGGGGCCATGTGTGAGAGGTCTCCACTCACAAGTAAGGTGCCATGGACACTCACCACATATAGCACTTCACTATTACTTGTGGAAGTATTTTCTTCAGATTTTATCTAGTTGATACATGTTACTGTCAAAGCTCATCCATTTTGATGAGACAATTTCTCCACCTAAATGTAACATAGGGTGAACTGTATTTGTAAATTCACAAGTTTTTAACCCATCTTTTGTACCTGCATTTCTTTTAGAACAGGCTTTGGAGCTGGCTGGTAAGTTATACATATGGAATGTTATGCACATTTTAATAAAGAGCAATGGGGTGATCTTACATAGTTAAACATTAATAATTTCTATTTATTGAAAAATTTCAAAATGTTATTTTCCTAATGAGATCTACGTGCATTATTTTTATCTGTGAGATCTCTGGCAAAGAAAAGTTACCATAAAGATACAGTACTTGGGATTTGCTGGCAAGATGGCCAAATAGAAATAGCTCCAGTCTGCAGCTCCCAGCGAGATCAATGCAGAAGACAGGTGATTTCTGCATTTCCAACTGAGGTACCTGGTTAGTTTCATTGGAACTGGTTGGACAGTGGGTGCAGCCCACAAAGGGCGACCCGAAGCAGGGTGGGGTGTTGCCTCACCCAGGAAATGCAAGGGGTTGGGGGATCTCCCTCCCCCAGCCAAGGGAAGCCATGAGATACTGTATTGAGAGGAACAGTGCACTCCAGCTCAGATAGTGCACTTTTCCCATGGTCTTCACAATTGGCAGACCAGGAGATTCCCTCCGGTGCCTATGCCACCAGGGCCCTGAGTTTCAAGCACAAAACTGGGCGGCCATTTGGGCAGACACTGAGCTAGCTGCAGGAGTTTTTTTTTCATACCCCAGTGGCACCTGGAATGCCAGCAAGAGAGAACCATTCACTCCCCTGGAAAAGGGGCTGGAGCCAGGGAGCCAAGTGGTCTGGCTTGGCAGGTACCACCCCCATGGAGCACAGCAAGCTAAGATCCACTGGCTTGAAATTCTTGCTGCCAGCACAGCAGCCTGAGGTTGACATGGGATGCTTGAGGTTGGTTGGGGGAGGCGTGTCCGCCATTGCTGAGGCTTGAGTAGGTGGTTTTCCCCTTACAGTGTAAACAAAGCTGCTGGGAACTTTGAACTGGGCGGAGCCAACCGCAGCTCAGCAAGGCGGATGTGGCCAGACTGCCTCTCTAGATTCCTCCTTTCTGGGCAGGGCATCTCTGAAAAAAAAGGCAGCAGCCCCAACCAGGGACTTACAGATAAAACCCCAAACTCCCTGGGTCAGAGGACCTCGGGGAAGGGGTGGCTGTGGATGCAGCTTCAGCAGACTTAAACATCCCTGCCTGACAGCTCTGAAGAGAGCAGTGGATCTCCAAGGACAGAGTTCAAGCTCTGATAAGGGACAAACTGCCTCCTCAAGTGGGTCCCTGACCTCTGTGTATCCTGACTGGGAGACACCTCCCAGTAGGGGCTGACAGACACCTCATGCAGGAGAGCTCCAGCTGGCATCTGGCAGGTGCCCCTCTGGGACAAAACTTCCAGAGGAAGAAACAGGCAGCAATCTTTGCTGTTCTGCAGCCTCTGCTGGTGATACCCAGGCAAACAGGGTCTGGAGTGGACCTCCAGCAAATTCCAGCAGACCTGCAGCAGAGGGGCCTGACTGTTAGAAGGAAAATTAACAAACAGAAAGGAATAGTGTCAACATCAACAAAAAGGGCATCCACTCAGAGACTCTATCCGAAGGTCGCCAGCATCAAAGACCAAAGGTAGATAAAACCACAAAGTTGGGGAGAAACTAGAGCAAAAAGGCTGAAAATTCCAAAAACCAGAATGCCTCTTCTCCTCCAAAGGATCATAACTCCTTGCCAGTGAGGGAACAATACCGGACAGAGAATGAGTTTGACGAATTGACAGAAGTAGGCTTCAAAAGGTGGGTAATAACAAACCCTTAGAGCTAAAGGAGCATGTTCTAACCCAATGCAAGGAAACTAAGTACCTTGAAAAAAGGTTAGACAAATTGCTAACTAGAATAATCTATTTACAGAAGAACATAAATGACCTGATGGAGCTGAAAAACACAGCATGAGAACTTCATAAAGCATACACAAGTTTCAATTGTTGAATCAATCAAGTGGAAGAAAGGATATTGAGATTGAAGATCAACTCAATGAAATAAAGTGAGAAGACAAGATTAGAGAAAAAAAACGAAAAGAAATGAACAGAGCCTCCAAGAAATATGGGACTATGTGAAAAGACCAAATCTACATTTGATTGGTGTACCTGAAAGTGAACAGAAAAATGAAACCAAGTTGGAAAACACTCTTCAGGATATTAACCAGGAGAACTTTCCCAACCTAGCAAGGCAGGCCAACACTCAAATTCAGGAAATACAGAGAATACCAAAAAGATATTACTTGAGAAGAGCAACCCCAAGACATGTAATTGTCAGATTCACCAAGGTTGAAATGAAGGAAAAAATGTTAAGGGCAGCCAGCCAGAAAGGTCAGGTTACCCACATAGGGAAGCTCATCAGACTAACAGTGGATCTCTCTGCAGAAACCCTGCAAGCTAGAAGAGAGTGGGGGTCAATATTCAACATTCTTAAAGAATTTTCAACCCAGAATTTCATATCCAGCCAAACTAAGCTTCATAAGTGAAGGAGAAATAAAATCCTTTACAGACAAGCAAATGCTGAGAGATTTTGTCACCACCAGGGCTGCCTTACAAGAGCTCCTGAAGGAAGCACTAAACATGGAAAGGTACAATAGGTACCAGCCACTGCAAAAAGATACCAAATTGTAAAGACCTTTGATGCTATAAAGAAACTGCGTCAACTAAGGGGGAAAATAACCAGCTAGCATCATAATGACAGGAACAAATTCACACATAACAATATTAACCTTAAATGTAAATGGGCTAAAGGCCACAATTAAAAGACACAGACTAGCAAATTGGATTAAGAGTCAGGACCCGTCAGTGTGCTGTATTCAGGAGACCCATCTCAAGTGCAAAGACACACATAGGCTCAAAATAAAGGGATGAAGGAATATTTACCAAGCAAATGGAAAGCAAAAAAAAAAGTACGGGTTGCAATCCTAGTCTCTGAAAAAACAGGCTTCAAACCAACAAAGATCAAAGGAGACAAAGAAGGGCATTACATAATGGTAAAGGGATCAATGTAACAAGAAGAGCTAACTATCCCACATATATATGCTAAATATTAAACAGTTCAATGAGACAGAAAATTAACAAGGATATCCAGGACTTGAACTCAGCTCTGCACCAAGTGGATCTAATAGACAACTACAGAACTCTCTACCCCAAATCAACAGAATATACATTCTTCTCAGCACCACACTGCACTTACTCTAAAATTGACCATATAATTGGAAGTAAAACACTCCTTAGCAAATACAAAAGAACAGAAATCATAACAAACAGTCTCTCAGACCACAGTACAATTAAATTAGAACTCAGGATTAAGAAACTCACTCAAAACCACACAACTACATGGAAACTGAACAACCTGTTCCTGAATGACTACTGGGTAAATAATGAAATTAAAGCAGAAATAAAGATGTTCTTTTAAACCAGTGAGAACACAGACACAACGTACCAGAATCTCTGGGACATAGCTAACGCAGTGTTTACAGGGAAATTTATAGCACTAAATGCCCACAGGAGAAAGCAGGAAAGATCTAAAGTTGACACCCTAACATCACAATTAAATGAACTAAAGAAGCAAAAGCAAACAAATTCAAAAGCTAGCTGAAGACAAGAAATATCTAAGATCAGAGCAGAATTGAAGGAGATAGAGACAAAAAAACTGCTTCAAAAAAATCAATGAATCCAGGAGTTGGTTTTTTGAAAAGATCAACAAAATACATAGACTGCTAGCCAGACTAATAAAGAAGAAAAGAGAAAAGAATCAAATAGACACAATAAAAAAATGATAAAGGGGATATCACCACTGATGCCACAGAAATACAAACTACCATCAGAGAATACTATAAACACCTCTATGCAAATAAACGAGAAAATCTAGAAGAAATGGATATATTCCTGGACACATATACCCTCCCAAGACTAAACCAGGAAGAAATCGAATCCCTGAATAGACCAATAACAAATTCTGAAATAGAGGCAGTAATTAATAGCCTGCAAACCAAAAAAAGTCCAGGACCAAATGGATTCACAGCCGAATTCTACCAGAGGCACAAAGAGGAGCTGGTACCATTCCTTCTAAAATTATTCCAAACAATAGAAAAAGAAGGAATCCTCCCTCACTCATTTTATGAGGCCAGCGTCATCCTGATACCAAAACCTGTCAGAGACCCAACAAAAAGAGAAAATTTCAGGCCCGTATCCCTGATGAACATCCATGCAAAAATCCTCAATAAAATACTGGCAAACCATATCCAGCAGCACATCAAAAAGCTTATCCACTATGATCAAGTTGGTTTTATCCCTTGGATGCAGGCTGGTTCAATATATGCAAATCAATAAAAGTAATCTATCACATAAACAGAACCAACGACAAAAAGCACATGATTATCTCAATAGATGCAGAAAGGCCTTCGACAAAATTCAACAGCCTTCATGCTAAAAGCTATGAGTAAACTAGGTATTGATGAAACAAATCTCAAAATAATAAGAGCTGTTTATGACAAACCCACAGCCAATATCATACTGAATGAGCAAAAACTGAGAGCATTCCTTTTGAAAACCAGCACAAGACAAGGATGCCCTCTCTCATCACTCCTCTTCAACATGGTATTGGAAGTTCTGGCTGTGGCAATCAGGCAAAATAAATAAATAAAAGGTATTCAATTAGGAAAAGAGGAAGTCAAATTGTCTCTGTTTGCGGGTGACATGATTGTATATTTTGAAAACCCCATTGTCTAAGCCCAAAATCTCCTTAAGCTGGTAAGCAATTTCAGCAAAGTCTCAGGATACAAAATCTATGTGCAAAAATCAGAAGCATTCCTACACACCAAGAACAGATGAACAGACAGAGAGCCAAATCATGAGTGAACTCCCATTCACAATTGCTATAGAGAGAATAAAATAAATACCTACGAATACAACTTAAAAGGGATGTGAAGGAACTCTTCAAGGAGAGCTACAAACCACTGCTCAAAGAATAAGAAAGGATGCAAATATATGGAAAAACATTCCATGCTCATGGACGGGAAGAATCAATATTGTGAAAATGGCCATACTGCCCAAAGTAATTTATAGATTCAATGCTATCCCCTTCAAGCTACCATTGACTTTCTTCACAGAATTGAAAAAATATACCGTAAATTTCATATGGAACCAAAAAAGAGCCCATATAGCCAAGACAATCCCAAGCAAAAAGAACAAAGCTGGAAGCATCATGCTACCTGACTTCAAACTACACTACAAGGCTGCAGTGACCAAAACAGCATGGTACTGGTACCAAAACAGATATATAGACCAGTGGAACAGAACAGAAGTGTCAGAAATAACACCACACAACTACAACCATCTGATCTTTGACAAACCTGACAAAAACAAGCAACGGGGAAAGGATTCCCTATTTAATAAATGATGTTGGAAAACTGGTTAGCCATATGCAGAAAGCTGAAACTTTCTTACACCTTATATAAAAATTACCTCAAAGTGGATTAAAGACTTAAACATAAGACCTAAAAACATAAAAACTGTAGAAGAAAATCTAGGCAATTCCATTCAGGACATAGGCATGGGCAAGGACTTCATGACTAAAACACCAAAAGCAATGGCAACGAAAGCCAAAATTGACAAATGGGATCTAATTAAACTAAAGAGCTTCTGCACAGCAAAAGAAACTACCATCAGAGTGAACAGGCAACCTACAGAATGGGAGAAAATGTTTGCAATCTATCCATCTGACAAAGGGCTAATATCCAGAATCTACAAAGAACTTAAACAAATTTACAAGAAAAAAACAACCCCATCAAAAAATGGGTGAAGAATAGAACAGACACTTCTCAAAAGAAGACATTTATACAGCTAACAAACATGAAAAAAACCTCATCATCACTGGTCATCAGAGAAATGAGAATCAAAGGCACAATGAGATACCATCTCATGCCAGTTAGAATGGTGATCATTAACAAGTCAGGAAACAGATGCTGGAGAGGATGTGGAGAAATAGGAACGCTTTTGCTCTGTTGGTGGGAGTGTAAATTAGTTCAATCATTGTGGAAGACAGTGTGGCAATTCCTCAAGGATCTAGAACTAGAAATAGCATTTGACCCAGCAATCCCATTACTTGGTATATACCCAAAGGATTATAAATCATGCTACTATAAAGACACATGCACACATATGTTTATTGCAGCACTATTCACAGTAGCAAAGACTTGGAACCAGATCAAATGCCCATCAATGATAGACGAGATAAAGAAAATGTGGCACATATACACCATGGAATACTATGAAGCTGTAAAAATGGATGAGTTCATGTCCTTTGCAGGGACATGGATGAAATTGAAAACCATCACTTTCAGCTAACTAAGACAAGAACGGAAAACCAAACACCACATATTCTCACTCATATGGGAGTTGAACAATGGGAACACATGGGCATGGCAGGGGGGCATCACACCCCGGGGCCTGTAGGGGATGGGCACCTGAGGGAGGGATAGCGTTAGGAGAAATACCTAATGTAGATGATGGGTTGATGGGTGCAGTAAACCACCATGGCACGTGTATACCTATGTAACAAACTTGCACATTCTGCACATGTACCCCAGAACTTAAAGTATAATTAAAAAAATAAAGTACTTATTATTTATTATTATAAATATTTAAAATAGCTTTTAATGGTGCTTTGCTTTGTTTAGCCATTGATTTTTTCAAC
Source organism: Homo sapiens (assembly GCF_000001405.40). NCBI lineage: Eukaryota > Metazoa > Chordata > Mammalia > Primates > Hominidae > Homo > Homo sapiens. The sequence continues at coordinate 85,049,773 of NC_000004.12, forward strand.
TCAGTTTTATTGAGGTGTAATTTATATAAAATAAAATAAGTGCTTTTTCATATTTAATAAGTTTTGACAAATATATTAACCCAAATAAAGACTAACCACCATCAAAATACAGAATATTTCCATAACTCCCAAAATTTCCTTCATGTGTCTTTATATTGTCTTTACTTTCCCAGCCCTACAAAGCCATTAATATTTTGTCATTGTAGATATGATTTTTCCTAATTATTGAGGCATAACTCAACATACAAGTTAAGGCGTCCATTTAAAGTGTGCTATTTGCTATAGCCATGGATTTTTTCTGAAGTATAATGACTCTCTCTTTAATGTTTTGCTTTTGAATTCTCAGCTGTAGTTATTGAACTTTAGAATAAACTTACCATCATTTGATTATATGAGAAAGCATTAAATAATTTCTCTTTGTTTTCTGTACACACAGAATCGTACAGAGTCACTCTATATTCTGTACACAAACTATGTAATTTAACAATATTCTTGATCTATAAACTATTCCTGAAAAGTTGCTGATACAAAGGCCAGAGGAAGCAGATATAAAACTAAGCTACTGAGTTAGAACCTAACTACTATTAGCTACGGCCACACACCCATGAATCATAAAGTTCCTGAAACACAGATATTAATGATTTTCCTAGCTGATAATTCTCATACAATTATTTTAGAGGAAGGTGGAATATAAATCTTAAGTAAACAATTTAATAAATAAATATACACAGCTGGTGTTTTAATGTTCATTGTGTGAAGGAGAAGGTGGATACAGCACATGTTATCCAGGCACTTCCACTAATGGTACAATTCTGAAAAAGCTTATTTGAAGCTATTAGCAAGTTTTATGAGTTATTGATTTCTAAATGCTTTCCTAGTTCGGCAAGAAACGAGGTTTCAGAAGACAATGCCATTTAATCATTTTTATCAGTTAGGATGGATAACAGTTTGAATGTAGTCCAGCTCCCTGGATATGAAATAAATAGAATGATTTTCCATAGTGTTTTACCCCAATTTGCATATGGGTTACCTTAATAAATGCTGGGGAATAGATTAGTATAGCTTAGAAACTTGAAGCTTCTGAGACAATTTTCAGGAAGGAGTTCCTGAACCATTTAAAATTTGCAAAATAAACAAGAATAGCAATGATACAATCAGGCAATACACGTTGCACAATAAATCTGTCAGTGCTTTTTAACAAGCATGTACTGTGAGCTTATTATGTCTGAAGCATCACTTGAAGCCATGGTGATACATAGATGAAGGAGGGCTTCTACTCTCAAGTTCCTTTTTGGAGCAGGCAGGAGAAAGACAGCATTAAATTAACAGTTGTAACATAGGGTGCTAGTTTAAGGAGAAAAATACGTCGAGAGTGCAACGGCAGCAAGAATAAAGAGAGCTAGATTTGGGCTGAGAGAATCAGCAAAACCTTTCTAAAAATGACGATAATTTTGCTAAGTGAAAACACACTAGCAAAAATTAGCAGGTAGAGGAAGTAGAGTCTGTTTGGCTACATTCTTAAGAAATCTTCCATTATTAAAATAGAAATTTTTTTATTATTATTCTTAAGAAATCTTCCATTATTAAATATTACATATCCATTATTACATTCTTAAGAAATCTTCCACTATTAAAATAGAAAATCTATCTTCAATAGAAAAACATAGGTAAGATGCTTGAGAGCCTCCGACTTCTATAGTAAGTTTTTGTTTCTCTTGCAGAGATTTCGATAAAAAAGATATTTGCTATTGTTCTAATGGCTTTTAAAAAATATTTTCAACAAAACATCAAAATGGACAAAATTAAAACATTTTCTCATTTACTCTTCCACACACACAGCCTCAGTTTCTTCTGTTGATGGGTCCTGACCTTACAATTGAGTTTGCTGCATTTATCACGACTGTGGAAGGTAAACAAAAGAGCCCAAGGACAGAAGTCCAAAGAAATGTTTGCAGAGCATCCAGCCATGCACTCAGAGCAGCCACGAGTTTCCATGCTTTGTCTATATGAGCTTTTACCCCCACCTTGGCTGGCCAGGTATTAATTCTCAATAGAGACACACTTGTAATCAATACTAGTTTATACAGTACAAAAGAGGTTTCATAATTGATTGCTTTATATCTGATTTCTATTATAATCTTGTTTTGTTGGAGAAATGCTTCGTGTTTGGTGTGATCGGAGCATCAAGTGTTTGGGGTCATGTTGAGCTCTTCGTGCGCCATGCTGAGGAATTTGGATTTTATTCTGAAAGGAATAAAGGGTGATGCTTTCAGGTGAATTTCAGAGAGGATTGAGAGATGGCATAAGATTTGAACTTAGAAAAAGTCCCCTGGCAGCAGTGTGAAATATAGATTGCTGTGTTGGGAAGTGGTGAGAAAGACCACTTAGGAGGCTATTAGGATAATGAGAGACTGAGATAAGGCACTAGGAAAGCAAAGGAGGGAATGATTTAGAGAGATAAGAACATACAATGATTCTACTCTGTGACAAGCTGGATGTAGGAGTGTGTGTGTGTGTGTGTGTGTGTGTGTGTGTGTGTGTGTGTGTGTGTATCTGTGGGAGGTGGTGTCTAAATTAATTCCCATCTTTTTACCTGGGTCAGTAGGTAAAATATGAATGATAGGAGGAGGAGAAGCAGGAACAGGTGTTTTTGGAGGGGAGGAGTAGGAAGAGGATGTATTTTGAAGTTAAGGTATATACGGGATATATCTAAGCAAATATTTAATAGGTAGGCCTGAAAATGAGAGAATTACATTACAGATACAGGATTTTAGAGAAAAAAAATCTTACTTAAAATTATTATTAAAATAAAACATCCACATAGTTAAAAGTATCAACTTGTTCATAATGGCTGATAAAGAGAAATCATTTTGGATAAAGAAAATGTGGTACATATACACCATGGAATACTACGTAGCCACAAAAAAGAATGAAATCATGTCCTTTGAAGCAACGTGGATGCAGCTGGAGGCTATTATCCTAAGTAAATTAATGCAGAAACAGAAAACCAAATACTGCATGTTCTCACTTATAAGTAGATGCTAAACATTGGGTACCCAAGGACAAAAAGATGTGAACAATAAACACTGGGACTCCTCTGAAAGGAGGGGCAAAGTTGGAAAACTACCTGTAAATAACACTCACAGTATTTCAGCTGTTAAGAAAATATTGCTTTTGAGTCAAGTCATACACTGTGATTATACTTCCTTCTCTAAGTTTACAAAGTCAATATTCAGTGTCATGCAAAAGAAAGTAAATCTAGTATCAAATTCAAAAGAGTTCTCTTTTTATCATTTACTCATATTCATGCCATGTTTTAGTTTCACTCAAATTTAAGCTGCCTTTTCAAAAATAGCTTTTTTTTTCTTTTAACATCTGGTGAGGGCAGATTTATCTTTCATTCTTTAATTACTTACATTATTTGCATTTATTATAGCCTTGAGTTTTTCCAAGCTCAGAAATTCTCTCAGTTGCTTTTCTTCAAGTAGTTCAATTTCTTCTTTTGTCATGATAGTTTACTTTCTTGTTTTGTTGGAGCATATCATCAGACAAACTCTTAAGAAAGGCTTTAGGGTGTGTAAAGTTTTGGAATTCTTATATGTTTGAAAATTTCTATATATCTTGTTTTTATGTTTTATTATCTGGCTAGGTAGAGTACACTAGGTTGAAATTGTTTTTTTCCTTTGGAACTTTGAAGGCATTCATTATGTTCTGACACCCATTATTGCTCACGAGATGTCTAATGCTACCAACTTAGATTCTTCTTTTCATTTTTGTTTTCATGAACATTTATAATCATGTAAGTCTGATGAAGCAGAAGGGAGGCAATATGACTATGTTTGGACACTTTTTAACTTATTCTTCTTGGAACTCAGTTGGTCCTTTTATTCCATGCTGCTTCATCAGTAATCACTCAACATTTATTTCCTGTCTCCTATAGCTTTATTGAAATATGTACATTGTCCTCCGTGCTGGATATTCTCCACTGGTCTTTTTAGATCCACTCTCCACCCATTGTCATCCTGTTATGTGCCCTGGGAAAGCATACTGCAACTAGCTTCTTTGTCCTCTGGCTCCACTCCCAGTTGATTTTGGCCAATGGAAGATATCAGCAGGATATTGGGAAGTGGGAGGAAGGAAAAGTTGGGGCATGTCCTATAGAGACCTACCTGTTGAGGCATGAATAGGCAGTGGTTGAATTTTGCTATAGAGGTTGAATTTTGCTTAGCTCCTGCTAAGATTAACTAGTATTGCTATTCTTCCAAACTGATTTCTTTTTGTTTCTCCTTCAGGTATAGGGATAGTAATTGTTTCCCTCTGTTGTTAGTCTCTGCCTGCCTCATAATTCCCTGATGCATTTTCCTTAGTCCTGACCACACTTTTGGTAATTATCAATGTATTAATCTCTCTTCTTTACCCATTTATGGGGAGCTTGTAGTTGTCTATCTGTAACCTGACTGATACAATCTTCCATGTCATTTCTTCTCGGTAGATAAATATGTATACATTAGGAGAAGAGATCCATGCTTGTGCCTAATCTCCCCAGTATGACTGGTATGTGAGAATATAGGTAAATCTGAGTTAGAACATAGTAGAACCAGAATATGGGTAATAGTAGAAGCTTGGATAAGGAGAGAGCTACCCATGATTACGTTTTGGAGTACAAGTTACATTTTCACCTATCTCGTCAGTGGCTATATTAGCAACTTACTGTTAAGAGTTTAATAAGATACACTTAAGATGGCCAAATAGGAAGAGCTCCAGTCTGCAGATCCCAACTAGATCAATGCAGAAGGCAGGTGATTTCTGCATTTCCAACTGAGGTACCTGGCTCATCTCACTGGGACTGGTTAGACAGTGGGTGCAGCCTATGGAGGGTGAGCCAAAGCAGGGTGGGGCATCACCTCATCTGGGAAGCACATGGGGTCAGGGAACTTCCTCTCCTAGCCAAGGGAACCCGTGAGGGACTGCCACGAGGAATGGTGCATTCCGGCCCAGATACTATGCTATTCCCACGGTCTTCACAACCCACAGACCAGAGGATTCCCTTGGGTGCCTATGCCACCAGGGCCCTGGGTTTCGAGCAAAAACTGGGTGACCATTTGGGCAGACACTGAGCTAGCTGCAGAATTTTTTTTTCATACCCCAGTGGTGCCTGGAACACCAGCGAGACAGAACCATTCACTCCCCTGGAAAGGGGGCTGAAGCCAGGGAGTCAAGTGGTCTAGTTCAGTGGATCCTACCCCTATGCAGCCCAGCAAGTTATAATCCACTGGCTTTAAATTCTCCCTGCTAGCACAGCAGTCGGGGGAGGAGCATCTGCCATTGCTGAGGCTTGAGTAGATGGTTTCCCCCTCACAGTGTACACAAAACCACTGGGAAGTTCAAACGGGGTGGAGCACACCACAGTTTGGCAAAGCTGCTGTAGCCAGACTGCCTCTCTAGATTCCTCCTCTCTGGGCAGGGCATCTCTGAAAGAAAGGCAGCAGCCCCAGTCAGGGGCTTATAGATAAAACCCCCATCTCCCTGGGACAGAGCACCTGGGGGAAGGGGCAGCTGTGGGCACAGCTTCAGCAGACTTAAGTTTTCCTGCCTGCCAGCTTTGAAGAGAGCAGCAGATCTCCCAGCACAGCTCTTGAGCTTTGCTAAGTGACAGACTGCCTATTGATGTCAATCACCAAAGGAGTCCCCAGACAGCAAAGTCACCTCTCCTCTCCCACACTCTAATTCCCATTGAGCACAATATACCCGTATTTTGTTCTCTTTCATTACCCTTCTCCAATTCCTAAAATTCTTCCATGGTTCCTTCTAGAATTCCAGTTTCCTTAGAAGTAAAATCTCCTGTACCCTCAACATAGTTTCCAAATATTCCATTTACCTTGTTATTCTAAAAGAAACCTGACTCTCTCCTGGGGTTTCTGCCTCCCTGACAGCTGTCACAAGTGATGGCTGTTTTATCTTCCATAGCTTTCTCACTTGAGCTTGAGGGCAGAGGTCTCCTCCTTACACCTTATTGCTGCTTCCAGATGATTCTCCCTCCCTATAGCCTCCTAATGTTGACTCTTGTGTCATCAGATTTTATCCTTCATTACCCATTATTGTTGCCACCCTGTACTGAGTCTCCAGTCTTTTTCTCTTATTTTTCTACAGTTTAATTCTTGGATCATTCTTCTCTCTAACACATTTGTGATTCTTGCTCACTTTAATATGCACACAAGGAATCCTTTTAACACCCTGACCTTTAGTTGATTGAACTTGTCTTCAATGAACTTGTCTCTAGCCTGGTGCAGCCCCTCACTCACATGTTGTCATATCTGAGACCCTGTGATTACCAATAAATCCAAACCCCTCATAATCCCAACTTTTCATACCCCACTCTAACCAGCACCTCCTCCCAGCTCACATCTAGCCATCCTTCGATAACCTTCCCCATCCACCCCACTGAGAGGGGATCTACCACCTTTAAACTCTCCTTCTCCTTTAGACATATCATTATTCTTCTTACTCAGCTTAATTTCATGTCCGATAATAATAATCTCTATTCACATTTACTCTTAACTTCCTTTCTCCACCTCTTTCTTCACTGTACCGCTGCATGAAACTGCAGCTGTGTGAAACCTTTCCTTCTCAGAGCCTACAACTATCCAGCTGAAACTTGCTGGAGGAGAACTTGTAATTATACTGACTGGTCTCATTTTATGTTCATGATAAAAACCTTAAGTAGGCCCTTAATGCTGCCAGGCAATTATACTGGCCCAATCAATCTCCTATTCTCCTAGACAACACTTCACATTTTCTCCTTTCCCTCACACTCCTAACCACTTCTCCTCTGTCATCCCTCTCAACCTCTTCACCATGAAAATTAAAGCAATTAAAAAAAAGAAGCTCCATGGAATTCCCACCACCATATCTACCAGTATCCCACTTGGCAGGAAGTATAAATGTTTGGATACTGATAGATATGGTGATATAGTGATATATGGTGATATAGTGATATATGGTGATATAGCAGAGTATTGCTACAGATTAGCTATCCATGCTCTCACTTTAGGTAGAGCATTCTCTTGTCCACTTAATCCTCTTCTCTCTTGCTATACAGACATTGATTTGGCAATTATTCTGCCTGCTAGCTCATTCCCATCAAAATGCAAACATGCTGTTGTTTCTCCCATCTAAAATAAAATATTCTCTTGGCCTCATTCTCTCACCAGTTACCAAACTTTTTCTTTAATCTCCTTTGCTGGAAAACTCCTCAGAAGAGTTGTCTATGTTGGCTGTTTTCTATTTCTCTTCTCTCATTTTCTCCTATACACACTTCTAACAGGATATCTCTGCAAGCACTCCAAAGATTTGATTCCTGTCACAGTAAAAAATAATTTCCATATTACTAAATCCAGTGGCCAATTTCCAGAACTTATCTTGTGTTTATCTCTCAGAACATTTGACACAGTTGATCACACTAGTTTCCTTTATTAAACTTCTGCTAGCTTTGCATCGCAACACACTCTTTTGGTTTTCCCCATATGTCACTGGTAGCACCTTTTCAGTGCCCTCTCCTCTTCTCTCCAAACTGGTCATTTGGGGTGATCTAGGACTGAGCACTTTTCATTCTTTGATGTTCTTATTTTTTCTATTTATGCTCACTTATTATGAGATGGGTATTAACATATCCTTCTTTACAGATGATGAAAACAAGGCAGATATTAAATATCTTGTCAAAGATTATACAGCCAGCAAGTAGTAAAGCTGAAATTTGAACCTAGATAATTTGATGCCACTGTCTTTACTTTTAACCACTACTCTCTCTTCTCAAATTTAGTATTGAATTATATTAATTTGCATTATAATTAATACATTTTATTGTATTAGTACACAATCCCATGAGTCACTGTCTTTAACGTCTTTATTTTACTGATAAGGAATCGGAGAGAAGTTACTTACAAATGGTCACGTGGATGGCTAGTGTTGGAGCTAGGATTTGGAACCCAAAAAGATTGGACTCCAGAGTTGATTTTACTTTTTTAGTTTTAGTTTATTTTTAATTGACATGGACTAATTGTATGTATTTTTGGGGACAGTGAGATGTTTTGATACATGTATACATTGTGTAATCATCAAATCAGGGTATTTGGCACATCCATCACCTAAAACATTTATTATTTCTTTGTGGTGAAAACAATCTAAATCCTCTCTTCTGGCTATTTTGAAATATACAATATGATATTGTTATCTATAGTCATCCTCCTGTGTAATAGAACACCAAGACTTTTTCCTCCTATTTAACTTTGTACTAGTTCACCAATCCTTCCCCAGCCCCCTCCCTTTCCCAGCCTTTGGTAACCACTCTTCTACTCAGAGCTCATATTCTTAACCTTTAGGGTAGATTGCCTGCTATGGACCTCTGAAGTTCCCTCCTTTCTCCCTCTCCATTCCTCCTCCCTTTCTGCCCTCCTTCCCTATTCCCTCCCTTTCTCTTTTATTCAACACATATTTATTGCATGTCTGCTTTGAATCATGTACTTCTCTGTGTGCTGAAGATACCTGCAATGATGAACAAAACAGACCAAGTCCCTACCCTCATGGAGTCTATATTTTAGTAAATTTCCAAACAAGTAAACAAATGAACAATAATATAACACCAACAGTTGATAGATGCTATAGAGATAAATCAGGGTAAGGTAATAGCCAAGAGCCAAGGAGGCTTTGAATACAGGGTGGTCAGGGAAAGCCTCTACGCTAAGTTGAGATTTGAGTATAAACCTGAATGAAGGCACATAATAAGCCTGTGACTATCAGAGAGAGTATCCTAGTTGAGGTTAAGCTAACTGCAGAGACCTGAGGCATAAGTGTGCTTGGGGCATATGAGGAGCGCAACCTTGCTGCTAGGGTGGCCGGGCAAGGAGAAGGCTGTGGAAGTATGATTGTAGAGGTAGCTAGTGGCCACATCCCGTAAGTCTTTATGAGTCATGCAATAGGCTTTGGATTTTATTCCTATGTTTATGAGAAGCCAGTGCAGGGTTTTAAGCAAAGGAGTGAAATGATCTGATTCACATTTTCAAAAGGCCCCTGGCAGCTTCATAGAGAAAACCATGAAATGGGGAGGAGAGGGAGGGAGAAACAGGGAGACTTAGACTCAGCAGTTGTCCATGTGCCTGTTTATCATCCTACCCAAAGATCACATTTGAGAGTCCAAAGGGATTATGGAAATATTTAGGAGAGGATTCCAGCAGGGTGAAGTTTAATGGCTGCTACCACTTTTTCCCCATAATAAATGTAAATATTCACCATCAGTAAAACTTTTGTTGGTGGAAATTTCTCTTGAAATTACAGAAAATGGAGAGGGCCCAGCACTGTGGAGCAGAACAAGGACAAGAGTGTACAAAAATTGAGTGAGAGACTCAGGAATGCAACAGGAAAGTTAGAAAGAGGGAGTAATGATGGTGAAAAGGGTTAGCACACTGGGGTCTTGTGAGGAGCACAATTTTGTTATCTGTATCTGGTTTTCTGCCTATTATGCTAAGCCTTGGTACTGTCAGATGCTGAATACACATGGGGTAGATGGTATAAGATGGCAGCCTCAGTTCCGTGTTTATTACTCATTCTTCTTCAGCATGGCAAGAATAAATGATGGAAATCAGTGTTCTCATCCTTGATTCCCCTCTATCAAGCTTCCCTGTGTTCAGTTTTCTATGAAGACACAAAGAACTCAGATTTTTTTTTGCGATAATGAAAAGAACCCACAGCCCCTTTTGTTATCCAAAGTTTTGAGAATGATATTTCAATGCATATTTCATCTTGACACTCTTCTGCCCTGTGGCTGCACTTCCTAGGAAGAGACTGTGGCTCTAGTAAGGATTAATCAGTGACCGACTTCACCCCGTAATTGGAAGTAGAGCAGAAGTCCGAGAATGACAATACAGCTTCAAAGCCCTTTGTTTGTGCAAAGTGTCTCATCATGATTTGAAAAATCTGCTTGTTTTCATATAAACCTCTGAGGTAGGTTATTGTCACTGCTATTCTAATGATGGGGCTGTGGAGCTTGGATAATTCATACAAGGTTATATCAGAAGTTATGAGCTTAGAATGAAAACTCAAAGTCCTTGTTTCACCAGATTATTGCCCTTCAAGTCACATAATTATGGTGACAAATGGGATAACCAGGGATAATGTGTTAAGAAGTGAGATAGGCATATAAGTTTGTTATTGTAAAAAGTTGGAAGACAAAAGGGGTCATTATTCATGCAAAAAACGTAGTCTGTGCCATGCTTTTAAGCCACTAAGGACAATTACAATAAAGTGATACATTTGCTTGTTTTTGTTGTTATTTGTGCTGTGTCTATTACCTGAATACTTTCTTTGCTTTTAGGTTTATCAAGTGATTCCATGTTGGTGCCTGTCAATGGTAGAAACCAGCAAAGTACAGCTTGATGTTCCCCTGAGCAGCATGATGCTTCTGTATTTCATACTCAGAAGGCAAATGATGAATAGATAGTTAATCAGGTAAAATAGGATCAAAATGCAGTAGAGGTTTTAACAATCTCATTCTGCCTTTCCTTTTTAGAATCTTATGAGATATAGTGCTCCATTGAGAGAGAAGGACATGGGGGGTGAGAGCAAGAGAGAGTAGTCTATTATCTTACTCGATTTCCTGATGCAGTGGTTAACAAAAGGGGGCCTTTTTATATTAGATATGTGAATCACAGATGAAGCCTAAGGTGGTGTCAGAAGGAAGGTTTGGGCTTTGTGAAACAGAGAAGGAAGTTATTTTACGTGGATCTGCGGCAGAAGATTTAAAAGGAGGATCCTCATTGTTCCTTTCCAATTGCCATTCTATCCAGGAGGGATGGAAGTGAACAAAGGCAAGCAGAGTAATGATAGCCTTATTACAACACAGACTGAAGAGACAGCTTCTGAAGGCAGACAGTAACACAGCTTATGGAGAGACATGGGCAGGACTAACCATAGTAGAGTAACAGTCCTTTGAATGCCACTTGTGGGAGAATTGGGAAATATTTCTCACATCTGTGTGTCAAGAGTAAGAACAATTGTAAGAATGATTGCATAGGCAATATGAAAAAAGGCTGAGGAATCCTGTGTCAAGTCAAGAAGGTGTAAGGAAAATTTTCTAGCTGGCTCCCCTCTCCTTCAGGAGAAAATAATCTATGAGACTATTTAAGTAGAGGAGCTCACTTTTTCTGATTTTTTTTTCTGCACATCTGGATAATTAGTCACTATATTTTTGGGGAGGGAGAGAAAACCAACTGGGCTAGGACTCCTCCTTTGTTTCCCATGGTACCTTGTATCACCCACATGATTGTGCTTATAACATTGTAATGGTCTATGTTCTCATCTATACCCCCACAGGTACAGGCTCTATGAGGCAGGGATCTTGTCTGGCTTGTCAGTGTAGCATCTCCAGCGCCTGGTGCAGTGTGCTTCATACTTAGTACACTAAATGGGGTTACTTGTCCAAAGGAATGAATAGTGGATCAAGGAAAGGGAGTGTATAGATAGGAGGAAAAGTCAGATAAAGTCAATTTCTGGTTCCTAAATCTAATCTTCTTTGTACTTTTTAAAGAAGCTTGTAGTATATAATTTAGCATGTGAGCTCTGGGCCCAGAATGCTTTGGTTCCAAATCCAGTTCTGCCATCTCCAGGCTGTGTCATCACAGGAGTTCCTTAACTTTATCTGTGAGTGGGGACAATGATGCCCACTTATATTAGGGACTGAGTTTGGCTGTATGTATAGAAAACCCAAATAAGAGTAGTTCAAATAGGATAAGCATTTATCTTTTAATTCCTAATGAGAAGTCAGTTGGAAGAGAGGTAGTCCAGGGCTATGACGCCATGACCCAGGCTCTCTTCACCCCTTTGTTCAGCCATCCCCGGAGGCTTTCTTTCCTTATGGTCACCTGGTGGCTGCTGGGGCTCCAGCTATCACATTCACTCTGCAGGCAGGAAGAAAGAGAAGAGCAAAAGCAAACTCCACTTCCTAGTAGAATTTGCTTCCTTTCAAGGAGATTTCTCAGGAATCTCCACCAAAAACTCCCATTGATCTCTCATCGTCCAAAACTGTATCACATGAATCCCCCATCTGAATAAGAGTCTGGGAAATGCATTTTCTTTCTTTTAGCTGGACATATTGCTAACCCCACGATTAAAAAAAAGATTATGTTGGTAAGGAAGAAGTGAAAGATGAAAATTGGTTAGGCAACTAACAATATTGGAGAAGGTGAAGACACACAGTGGTTACTCAGCAAATGTGACTGTCTCACATTTAAATTAGACTTGTGATTTTCATTGAGAATGTATATAAGTATACAGAAATGGTGGCCATATACACTTGAACATTGGGCTTAAGCATGTCCCTTTTGGGGAGTGTCACAGCTCATGGGTAAGGATTAATGCTGACATGGAATTTATTGTAGACCTGGATCTTTATGTATATTCATTTAACCCTTAACCACAATTCTGAATAATAGGTATGGCTGTTATTTTCACTTTGCAGATGAAGAAATTGGTTCGGTAGGGTGCTTGAGTGCTACAACTATCACTTGGTAGAGGTAGATAAGATCTGAATTCAGACAGTCTGCCTTCAGAGTCTAAACTCTCAATCCAATATGAGTGAGAGAACATTTTCCAATAAAAGTGAATTAAGAAAAATAACTTCTAAAGATTTTCCAGTTCCCTGGATGGAGTATGTTAACTATAGAATCTTACAGATTCATTTAAACTTGTTGTGTCTCTGTGATACCATGTTCAAAATAAGAAGAATAAATAGCAGATGGTGATATTTGTTGGAATATAAACCCAATAAGGGAAAGAACTGCCATTTTTTCTGGCTGCAAGAAGTGCCTAATTTAGTGTTTCAAATATTGTGAGAGTACTTGGCAAATCACATTTGTTAGTAAAGCCTACAGTTTGACATTCCCAGCTACCAAGTCTCACCATATAAATATGCTGCAATTTAAGGGCTTCCTATACAGATGGAACTAAAATTCTCATCTTTAGTCAAAATGAGACTATGCTATTTATAAAAGTATTTAAAGCCAAATGATCACCAACCAAGCAGCTTGAAATTATCCAAGATGAAGCAATATAATCAGACTGTATGCATATATGCATACACACATAGACATACATATATGCATGTTATATGTGTATATTATAAGGATTCATGCTTACAGAAGAAAAAAAGCCTGATCATTCTTAGAACATCTGTTGGGAGATGTGAACATTATCCAAGCATCGTTCTAGGAAGACACAGATGGTAGATACTGACTGATTATGAAGAAGTGCATGTTATCTCCGTAAGGTCAGGCAAAACAAGCTTTGAGCCATTTTAGTGTTAGGATGAAGGCAATTCAAATGCAAATATGAGAGGGGAAGAGGAGGTAGCAAATCACTGCAGCTGGACTAGCCAGTGACCAAATAACGATCAGTATTAACCCTGATTGGAAAGGCAGGAGAGGATGGAGGCACTTGTCTTGTTTTAGCTTTATCTTGCCAACCTGCGACGGATTAGCGGCGAGGTGGGTGGTATCTATAACTGCTTCTGATTGGCTGCCTTCCCGTCCCATGGAAGGAGAAGAAGGGAGAATCAGCAGGTGGGTTTATAGTTCCATAAGCTCGAGACTGGATGATATTTCTGCTATAATTAACCCCATGGGGGCTGCTTTTTCTTTTTCTCCCCTTCGTTGTGTTTTGTTAGTTTATGGCAAAACCGTTGACCTTTCACACTGCCCTCAAAGGAGCCCTTCTGCCAAGGTTCGTGGCTACATCTTTCAACCACACACACTCAGGAATCAGTAAGTATTTTCATGCCTAGCTTGCATCTTTTCCCATGAGCCTCGTTGCTGTAGTAGTTGCTTTTTTTTTTATGTTTGGACAAACTGTCATAAAAGTGGCCATGTGGGACGCATGAAGGCCGCCTATCCTGCTCCAGCCCTCTGTGGCACGTGTCGGCTGGTCCATCACCTGCAATCGTTTTATGAGTAGTCAGGGGCTTATTTGCTGCTCTTGGGGTGGGGACAACCCCATAAGAAAAAAAAAAAACTCCATAAAGAATATCACCTCTTGTAACCTATTACTAATGTTGTTATTGTTGAAATTATTAGAGCAACAATCTTAGCTGCACAAAATCAGGGAAGAATAGAAACTTAGCTGCCTTTGATTTTGGTACAGGAGAAAAGTTTTTCATCTTGTTATCTTGTAATTGCTTTGTAGTTTTTGAAAATGAGTGCAATTTCCATGTAAATGTATATTTCCCTAAGGCTAGCAGAGATGAATGAGTAAAAAGAGGACAGTGATGCCTATTTATTTCTTTCTTTTAACAGGAGTTTACTTGGTATGTTTCATTAAAACTTTGTATGAGATATTCTCTGAAGTTTGAAATTGTAAAAACATCTACTTTCAAAACTCTTTATAAAAATTTATTTTCACAACATTAGGATTTTTGAGTAAGATATAGAAATAAGAAACAAATATTAAATAAGGTAGTCAAATCTGATTTTCTGATTATCAAAAGCAAACAGCTATTTATATATTTTGGGGGCATTCCAGTTCTTATTATCTGTTTTCCCTTTAGAAACACCCATATCTTATGAATTTGGATGGTATTAATTAGTAATTTGTCATAGTTTTGGCTATATAAAATTTTCCTAGCCAGCCCTTTAATCAACGATAGAGTAAATAGATTTGAAAAAGCAAGATTGTACAAAGAATGTTTCAAAGAATAACGAGAACACACTACTTTTAACTATTTACTCATTCTCTACCCAGAAATATTTTGGAAGCATATTTACATTCAAACAACCCAACGGTTGCCAGGTTTTCTACTTTACCTGCTAGCACTTCATTCAACAAATATGCATAGAAAAATCTATCTTTTCCCAGGAACCGTGCTAGGTACTAGAGATATCAGAATGAACCAGATAGCTCTCTGCCTTCAGAGAGCTCCAAGTCTAGTGACACAATAGGACATAAATAAATCACAATAAAAGTAGTTAATATTCTTATACATGTATGAACAAAATGTTGTGTAGGTCATTCTCTGTAGGTGTCAAAACAGGCTGAAGGATTTACTCGGGAGGTGACATTTAAGTTGGGTTTTGGGGAGGAGTAAGGGGTTTAAGGTAATGAAGTAAGCATAGGGCAGAAGGAATTGGGAAGTCAGAATGTCAGAGTTGTGACATGGCTTGTGTGTGTCTGGATGAAGTGTGCCTGGAGGGTCTGGTGTTGTCCTTGTAGGAGGTAACCTAGGCTGCGTGTGGATGTGACAAGGGTGTTAGTGATGGTGCAAGGGCAGCTGGGACCCTAGACCTTGGGTCCATGTTCTCTCTCCTCTGCCATCAGGGCACTGCGGGGATTAGTTTGAGAAGCACTAGGGCAATGGGGAAAACCCTAGACTTCACTATTTCTCAACCTTTCTGAGCTACATTTTATATAAAATGATGCAATAATCCTACCTTGCAGGACTAATGGGAAAATTAATTTAGGAAAAACATAAAAATTGCCTATCAACCTACTGGGTACTTAGGTCAGCTCAGGAACTTTCCTTTCTCTCTTAAAATGCTGTTTACAGGAATCCTCCATGAATTTTTTTTGTAAATGAGCAAACCCTCTAGTTGAATATTTATTTTTTGTTTCATAAATATGAGTTATAACCTCACTTATCTATATAATTGTATGAATCTTCCAAAACTTTTGGACATAGAAACATGAGTAGAAAATCTGAAAGTTAGATGATTTGTATCTTTAGGCTGAATCAGATCTGTCATTCTGATGCAGACTGAATATAAACTCACATAAAGGTTTTACAAAATTTCTTCCTCTCAGTATTTTTTCTCAAGAGGTAGACATAATAACACCTTTCCTCTCTAGTTCCTGTGGAGATCTTTGAAAAATAAATTAAATGATGTGTGCAAAAGTAATTTAAGAAGTTCCATACCAAAGTACCAATAATAATATATTACAAAATCCTTTATCAGGTAAATGTGGGTTATTTTTTATTCTAAATGCCTTAATGCATTTCAGTAATCTGTTGTTAGGATAGAAATCTCTGAATAAAAATGCAAATACCTAAAAGCTTTGACAATTTCCTTAAACATAAATACTTAATTCCAAACCTAGTTTAGAGATTTTTTTCATTGTTTTTTTATGGTTATGCTATGTAGTAGAACTAGAATAAGACCTTTCATATTTGTTTTATTAAATCCCAGAACCCTTGGTATGTTGGCCAAGATTCATTGGTCAGTCCTATAGTAGTGCATCTTATAACAGCTATTTTCAAAATAATCCTAAGTTTTTAGAGAACAATGTTAATCATTTATCATCATACTTATGGGCTACTTTCTGATCTGTAATCCCTTAACCTAATAATGGCTATTGAAAGTTCTCAGTACTAAGATGATGCTTTCTTTGATGCTACACTTTTACACGGGCTTTTTTATCAGTTACTCTACCTCACTTGGTTTCATGAGCAGCTGTTTTCCTTTCCTTCCTTCCTTCCTTCTTTCCTTCCTTCCTGCCTTCCTGCCTTCCTGCCTTCCTTCTTCCCCTCTCTCTCTCTCCCTCTCCCTCTCTTTCAGACAGTCTCTTTCTGTCACCAAGGCTGGAGTTAGAGGCATGATCATAGCTCACTGCAGCCTCAATCTCCTGGGCTCAGGCAATCCTCCCGCCTCAGCCTCTTGAGTAGCTGGGACTACAGGCATGTACCACCACATCCAGCTAATAATTTTATTTTTTGTAGAGATGAGGTCACTTTGTTGTCCAGGCTGGTCTCCAACTCTTGGGCTCAAGCGATTCTCCTGCCTTGGCCTCTCAAAATGCTGGGATTACAGGCATGAGCCACTGTGCCTGGCTTTGATGTTTTCTTTCTACTTGTGGTTTTAGTGATGATTGCTTTGTCTTTGATTGATGCAATGCATAGGTCTGCTAGTCTCATGCTTGTGTTATTGTGAATTAGGTCATAATGATTATTGGCTTGACCAGTGTGTTTTAGGATGTAAACAATAGTTATGTCTAGTGATCAGTTTGTAGATGTTGTAGTCACCCAGGTTTACAATTGACAGCAATGTGAACAGCTTATGTGAATAATTCTCTTTTCCTTTCTTGTGTGATATGCAGTCTTTTAGTCATGATGTGCAGAAGACATTGTTTTGTTTTTTTGAGACGGAGTCTTGCTCTGTTGCCCAGGCTGGAGTGCAGTGGTGTGATCTTGGCTCTCTGCAACCTCTGCCTCCCGGGTTCAAGTGATTCTCCTGCCTCAGCCTCCCGAGTAGCTGGAACTACAGGCAAGCGCCACCACACCCAGCTAATTTTTGTATTTTTGGTAGAGATGGGGATGTTGGCCAGGCTGCTTTGGAACTCCTGACCTCAGGTGATCCACCCACCTTGCCTCCCAAAGTGCTAGAATTACAGGTTTTAGCCATTGCGCCAGGCCCAGAAGACATATTTCTATTATTACATGACAGCAGTACCTTTAGAATTTGCTTGAAACTTTTATAATGACAAACAGTAAAATAGTCTCATAAGTTTATGTACTGCTTTAATTTCATTGTTTTAACTGAGAGGTTTTAACATTGTCTTCACAAGAAAACAAAATGTTTTCCGATGAAGTGCTAACATTAGTATGAAAAGTCATTGTTTTTATAAAAGGAGTTTAGTGACAGACCTGAGGCACCTAATACATTAGGCATTATTTTGTTGTGAAATAAAAGAGCAAATATGAGAAAATACCTCAATAATTTATATGTAATATATTTGTTTTATGATTCACCTCTGAGATGTCTTATAATTTAGCCTTTGTGGTAGCTAAAAAATGTTAGAGTAAAACAAGATCATGTGAGAATATTTACCTAAGGCAACGCATTATTTTAAAATGATCAATGTTCATGTAAACATTGTAATGCTAAAATAAGAAAAATCCCCTTGCTATGCTGATGATCTGAAAAATGTTAGTTACAAATCATTATTAATCATTGTTAGGTCCTCATTAAATCATGGCTTTAGCCTACACATTGACACTTATGTTCTAAAACAAAAAAAAAATGTTATTTTAAGGGATTCTATTCTGTCTCCTCATGAATGTGGTAAAATTTCCTAAGAAGAAAATGAAAATTTATTTCTTGGGTTCTTGCTAAAGAATGGATGAATGACTATTTCCTGAATATTTATTAGGGGTCCAATCTTCCAGGCATGGAAGATGTAGCAGTAAAGCAACAGAGAAAGTTGCTGCTTTCATAAACTTATGTTCTGTAGCCTAGAATGGTCTACTGTGTAACACTTGCCAAGATCCCAGTTGATAAGATTGTTTGAAGTCTAGTGAGGATCAGCTGTTTTCCCAAGGGGACACTAACTGTATTGGTCTGTTTTCATGCTGCTGATAAAGACATACCTGAGACTGGACAATTTACAAAAGAAAGAGGTTTAATGGACTTACAGTTCCATGTGGCTGGGGAGGCCTCACAATCATGGTGGAAGGCAAGGAGAAGCAAGTCATGTCTTACTTGGATGGCAGCAGGCAAAGAGAGAGCTTGTGCAGAGAAACTCCCATTTTTAAATCCATCAGGTCTCGTGAGACCCATTCACTGTCACAAGAACAGCACAGGAAAGACCTGCCCCCATGATTCAATCATCTCCCACTTGGTCCCTCCCACAACATGTTGGAATTATGGGAGCTACATGATGAGATGTGGGTGAGGACACAGAGTCAAACCATATCACTAACCAATGGTTGATTTCAGATTCCTGTATTTTATTAAGATGAAAATTTCATTTAGAATTAGATCATGGCCATACAGTTGAGATGGGAAGGTTGTATAAGTTTACACGGAATGAGGGATACTCATCAAAGCTCTAGATGGTCTGTCTTCATCAGTCGTTCTTAAACTTCAGAATATATGCAATAAACCTTTGGAACTTGTCAAATACATATTCCAGGCCCTACCTGGAGAAATGCAGATTCTTTAGCTTTAGAGCATTGCTTAGGAATCTGCACTTTTAATAAGCAACAAGTGGTTCTTGTTATAATTAATATAATTTCCTTAAGATTTATATGTTATTAACTCTTTTGTATATTTTTAAGACAGGCATATGAACATATCTAAATGGATATATATAAATATGTGTGTATATATCATATATATGTGTTTATATATCCCATATATATATCCTATATATATGTGTATGCATATATCCCATACATGTGTGTATATATCCCATATATATGTATATATATAAATATATATACAGACACATATATACACACACATATATATAGATTCAGGGATACAGGTGTATATCTATATCTCTATCTATATGTAAATTTAGGGGGTACATGTGCAGGTTGTTACATGGATGTATTGTGTAATGGTGAGATTAGGGCTTCTAGAATACCCAAATAGTGAACATTGTACCCAATAGGTAATCTTTTAACCCTCACCCCTCTTCTACCCTCCCCACTTCTGGAGTCCCCAGTGTCTGTTTTTTCCATTTTTATGTCAAGGTGTACCCATTGTTTACCTCCCATTTTTAAGTGGGAATAAGTGGTATTTGATTTTTCGGTTTTTGAGTTATTTCACTCAGGAGAATGACCTCCAGCTCTATCCATATTGCTGCAAAGGACATGATTTTATTGTTTTTATGGTTGTATATTATTCTGTAAGGTATATATACCACATTTTCTTTATCCAATCCACCATTGTTGGACACTTAGGTTGATTCCATAACTACGTGGTTGTAAATAGTACTGGAATAAACATACAAATAAAGGTGTCTTTTGTATATAATGATATCTTTTCTTTTGGGTAAATGCTCAGCAGCGGGATTACTGGGTCAGTTCTATTTTCAGTTCTTTGAGAAATCTGAATGTTTTTCATAGAGGTTGTAATAATTTACATTGCCATCAACAGTGTATAAGCATTCTCTTTTCTCCACAACCATGCTAACATCTATTGTTTTTTGTTTAGTAATAGCCATTCTGATTGGTGTAAGATGATATCTCATTGTGGCTTAATTTGCATAATTTGCATGATGATTAGTGACATTGAACATTTTTTCATGTTTGGCGACTTGTATGTCTTCTTTTGAGAAATGTCTGTTCGTGTCCTTTGTCCACTTTTTACTGAGTTTGTTTGCTTCTCTTTAATTATTTGAGTTTCTTGTAGATTCTGGATATTAGTCCCTTGTCAGAGGCATGATTTGCAATTATTTTCTCTCATTCTGTAGATTGTCTGTTTACTCTATTGACTATTTCTTTTGCGGTGCAGAAGCTTTTTAGTTTAATTAAGTTCCATTTGTCTATTTTTGTTTTTGTGGCATTTGCTTTTGGGGTCTTCATCATAAAGTCATCATAAACATTTGCCTAGGCCAATGTTTAGAAGAGTTTGTCTAGACTTTCTTCTAGGATTTCTATAGTTTCAGGTCTTATGTATTTAAGTTTTTAATCCATCTTGAGTTTATTTTTGTATATGGTGAGAGATAAGGGTCTAGTTTCATTCTTCTGCCTATGACTAACCAATTTTCCCAGCACCATTTGTTGAATAGAGTGTCCTTTCCTCATTGTCTATTCTTATCAATTTTGATAAAGTTCAGCTGGTTATAGGTATGTGGCTTTATTTCTGGGTTCTTTATTCTGTTCCATTGTTCTATGTGTCTATTTTTGTACCAGTCCCATGCTGTTTTAGTTACTCTAGCCTTGTAGTATAGTTTGAAGTCAGGTAATATGATACATCCAGCTTTGTTCTTTTTGCTTAGGATTGCTCTGGCAATTTGGGCTCTTTTTTGGTTACATATGAACTTCAGGATTTTTTTTCTAATTCTGTGAAGAATAACACCGATAATTTGATAGATTTGTGTTGAATCTGTAAATTGCTCTGAGCAGTATGATCATCTTAATAACACTGATTCTTCCAATCCATGAGAATGGGATACTTTTCCATTTGTTTATGTCATCTGTGATTTCTTTTATCAGTGTCTTGTAGCTCTTTTTGTGAGATCTTTCACCTCCTTTGTTAAATGTAATCCTAGGTATTTTATTTTATTGGTGGCTATTGTAAATGGAAGTGAGTTCTTGTTTTGGTTCTTAGCTTGAATGTTTTTGGTGTATAGAAATGCTACTAATTTTTGGATGTTGATTTTGTGTCCTGAAACTTTCCTGAAGTTGTTTACTAGGCCTGGAAGTCTTTTATAGGAGTCTTTACAGTTTCCTATGTATGAAAGTATGTCATCAGTAAACAAAGATAATTTGATTTCTTCTTTTCCTATTTGGATGGCTTTTATTTCTTTCTCTTGCCTGATTGCTCTGACTGGGACTTCCAGTGCTATGTTGAATTGGAACAAGATTTTCTTGCTTAGTTCCAATTCTTAGGAGTAATGCTTTCAGTTTTTCCTCACTCAGTATAATGTTGGCTATGGGTTTGTCATAGATGGCTCTTACTATTTTGAGTATGTTCTTTCAATGTCTAGTTTGTTAAAGGTTTTTTTTTTTTTTTAAATCATGAGGGGATGTTTGATTTTACTAAATACTTTCTCTCTATCTATTGAGATGGTCATATGGTTTGTGTTTTTAATTCTGTTTATATGGTGAACACATTATTGATTTGTGAATGTTGAACAATCATTGCATTCCTGGAATAAAACCCAGTTTTTTTTGACAGAGTCTTGCTCTATTGCCTAGGCTAGAGTGCAGTGATGCGATCTCGGCTCAGTGCAAGCTCCACCTCCTGGGTTCATGCCATTTTCCTGCTTCAGCCTCCCGAGTAGCTGGGACTACAGGTGCCCGCCACCACGCCCAGCTAATTTTTTGTATTTTTAGTAGAGGTGGGGTTTCACCATGTTGGTCAGGATGGTCTTGATCTCCTGACCTTGTGATCCACCCTCCTCAGCCTCCCAAAGTGCTGGGATTACAGGCATGAGCCACTGTGCTTGGTCCTTTGCTGAGGATTTTTGCTCTATGTTTATGATGGATATTGGCCTATAGTTTTCTTTTTTTGCTTTTTTACCTGAGTTTGGTATCAGGGTGATATCGGTTTCATACAATGAGTTAGGAAGAAATATTAGCCTTCTTTGTATGTCTGGTAAAATTTGGCTATGAATCTGTCTTGTCTGGGCTTTTTTTTCGTTGGAAGATTTTTGATTACTGATTCAATTTTATTACTTGTTACTGGTCTGTTCAGGGTTTCTATTTCTTCCTGGTTGAATCTTTGGAGGTTATATGTTTTCAGGAACTTATCCATTTCCTCTAGATTTTCTAGTTTGTGTACATAGAGATGTTTATAGTAATCTCTGATGATCTTTTGTTTTTCTGTGGTATCAGTGGTAATGTCACCTTTATCATTTCTGATTGTGCTTATTTGAATCTTCACTTTTTCTTGTTCAAATTAGCTAGTGGTATGTCAATTTTGTTTATCTTTTCAAAGAACCAACTTATTGTTTCATTGATCCTTTTATCATTTTTTGGATCTTACTCTCACACTAAATGGGATATTTTTATTTAATTGAAAAAATCTGTCCTGAAGAATTGATATTGACTTTAAGAAATGGGCCAAACTCAGTTCCGTGTAAGAAGCTTCTTACACATGAGACTGAAAGCACAGATAAAGTGGTGCTGTCACCTCTAGCCCCTGCCTATTTCATAGTAACCATACAAAAGAGGTTATGGGCATGTGTATATATGTTTTCGAAAAAATTAGATTACATTTAGACAAATGTAAAATTTTCATCTCCAAATTTGTCTCAGTACATATCCCCTCCCGTCCCTGACTCCCCTTTTACACTTCCATACACTAAATCCTGCATATTCACTGAATTTTTAGTAGACTTTTTTAGATGAAGATTATAAACTATTGTTAGGGTGATTTTTCTAATGCTAGCTTCTAGAAAATGAAAATCAGCGTGAAGAATGTTTACCTCCCACAATTGCTCATTTAAAAAGACTAAGTTAATAAAGCATTTTTTGATACCTAAAAATACATATCCATTGTGCAATATGATAGCCTTAATGAGAACCTCAAGGTATCATGAAATTCAAGGCCTCTTGATAGTAATGTATTTACTGAATATAAGCTGCAATCCTGTTGCCTAGAGAGAGACAAAACATTTTACTTACTGTACTTACAATGGCTGTAGCGTCATTTTGTTTATTTCCTCTATGATAAACCCTCAGAGAAAGTAAAAGCTGTCAGAATATGCCCAGAGGCAGCATAGTCTTTAGACATCTGGTTAGTAAAAAGATCTGTAGTTAAGAGCACACAACCCAGAGCCAGTACTTATTGCACTAGGACAACAGAAATTGTCCCCAAGAGGAACGACCATCAAATATTTCATCAACTTGCGTATGTACTTTGTCAAGCTTATAGTCTTAAGAAATGTTGGTCTCAAATAGTGTAGTCCTAAGGACTATATTAAAGGAGTATAAATAATTGTGGCTGAAATTTATGACCCATTTTTTTCTTTCCATTTGACATTCCATGAAAGATATTTATTACTGATTAGATAGCAAATTATTTCTAGAAGATAGTTGGGGTTGGCTTTTATCAGCCTGACTAGTTAGAACAACCACAACTTTTCGATCAAAAACTATTTTTGTGCTTATGTATCTCCCATTGTGTTGTGTACAAAGATTTGTAACACACGGTCTCAGCCCTTAGGGAACTGGAAAGATAAGGCACCAGTCCATAAAAGTGTGACTAATTTGTAAAAAAAAAAAAAAAAAAATAGTACAAGTACAAGCAATATATTCAACAAAGGCAGTGCAGGAAGTGCTAAGGAGATTATTTAGACAATGAATGCTGAACATATAGGATGGAGAAATCACCGCGGATAGGAGCAATCAGAGAGGGCGTTGTTGAAAAAGGTGAACCTCAGCTGGCTGTGATTTTATACCAGTGAGGAAGAGTTAGGATGTTTCATACAAGCAAATAGTGTGTGCTATATTAGAGACAGAGAAAGGTAGAAATTTAGGGAATAGCTCTGACTGGCTTATAGAGCAGTATTTGGTAACTGCAGAGCAGTGGTCCTCAACATTTTTGGCACCAGGCACTGGTTTTGTGGAAGACAATTTTTCATGGATGTGGTAGGGGGATGGTTTCAGGATGATTCAAGCGCATTAATTTATTGTGCACTTTATTTCTATTATCATTACATTGGAATACATAATGAAATAATTATAGAACTCACCATAATGTAGAATCAGTGGGAGCCCTGAGCCTGTTTTCCTGCAACTACATGGTCCCATCTGGGGGTGATGAGGGACAGTGACAGATCATGAGGCATTAGATTCTCATAATGAGAGCAAAACCTAGATCCTTTGCATGCACAGTTCACAACAGAGTTTGCGCTCTTATGAGAATCTAATGCCACTGCAGATCTGACAGGAGGCGGAGCTCATGTGGTAATGAGAGTGATGAGGAGTAGCTGTAAATAGAGATAAAGCTTTGCTCACTTGCTCACTGCACTCCTCCTGCTGTGCGGCCCAGTTCCTAACAGGCCACCAACCAGTACCAGTCCATGGCTGGGGGCTTGGGGACCCCTGCTGTAGATTGATTCTGAAAGACCATGTTGGAAAGATATATTGGTGCCAGAGTATGATATATCCTTTAAAAGTTGGCTAAGAAGCTTGAGTTCTGTGCTATAGGTGATGGAGAACAATCATCCAGGAGGAAAGAAACAGTTTAGAAAGAATCTAATAGTAACATACAGGAAGGATTAGACCAGTGGTCCTCAAAGTGTGGTCCCCAGATCC
Source organism: Homo sapiens (assembly GCF_000001405.40). Lineage (NCBI taxonomy): Eukaryota > Metazoa > Chordata > Mammalia > Primates > Hominidae > Homo > Homo sapiens. Next base: position 85,074,518 of record NC_000004.12, read on the forward strand.
TTTTGTGTCCTCAAGACTTGTTTTTGGAGTCCCTGAGGTCAAAACTATTTTTATAATAATACTAAGATGTTAGTTACTTTTTACGCTATATTGGCATTTGTGCTGAAGATACAACATGGTGGGTAAAACTGCTAACATCTTTGCATGAATCAAGTCACTGGCACAAAGCAGTGGAAGCAGTCCGGGGATTCTTCATCATCACACACTTGCAGTAAAAAAGTAAAATTTCCCTTACAAATGTTCTTGATGAAGTGGTAAATATGATTATTTTATTAGATCTCAACCCTTGAGAACACATCTTTTCAATGTTAATTGTGACAAAATGACAATGTGAGCATAAAGCACTCTGCTGCATACTGAAATAGGATGGTTTTCTTAAGAAAATGCATTTATTTTGAGATGATTTGGCCTAGGCTCCCCCACTTTTAAAAATGGAATGCCATTTTTACTTGAGACACAGGAAACCTATGGTCATTCAGATTAGGTATTTGGGAGACCTGTTCTCAGAAATAAAGTGGGTCTGTCATTTCAAGAAAAAAAACTGACAGTATTGTGGCTAATGGTTAAAATTTGACCCTTCAGATGAAAATTAGATATTTGAAAGTTTTTCCCGTCACTGTGAGGTTGAGGCTTCCCGATAGTTAGAGACGTTTCTAAAGAGCTTAGTAGTGATAGTAACAAATGAGATTTTTTTTGTAGAATGCAATTTGTCAACATTTGGAAGGTGTGTATAACTCATTGAAATAATACTTTATAAATGACCAATGCATAATGTTTACAAAATAATGCATGTATAAAAATATGCATTCAAAGTTCAAGACAAACCAATGAAATGTAATGTGTCCATCTTAAAAAATTCACTGGTACAGTTTCAGATTCTACATTGCAACTAATATTTAGGAAACTACTACTTGTTGAGTTTTGCTGAGAGTATTTAGGAAAAGTACAGTAAGTCTTAACATCATTGATAAGTTCTTGGAAACTGTGACTTTAAGCAAAATGATATATAATAAAAACAATTTTACCACAGGCTAATTAATAAAAACAATAGTTAAGACCCTGCAGTATATTTCTGGTCACAAAAATAGCATCAAATTTCTAAATAAAGACCCCAAACACTTCTACTGTTAAACAATTGAAATAAATGGGAGCTATACATAAATTTAAGAAAGATGAATAAAAAGTAAGATAATTATTTACCCATTTTGGTGAATCAGTGAGGGACAGTGGTTGTAGTGGTGATGGGTTAAATCAAGGGATGTTTGCAAAGTGAAAATGGTCAGGAGCACCTGCACCTACCACTTAGTTCAAAACCAACCCATGATCAGTATGGTTGGCTTGCTGAGCCTTTTGTGCTACATATTTTGTTGTTGTGCATCTGTAGGATTATCATCTACTTTGTTAATTTTAATTTTACTATAATTTATATTGATTCACCTTCCAACTAGCTTATTGCAGTTAAGGGTGTAGGATGGCCCAGAGCCCATCTTGACAGCTCAGGGAGCCAGGTGGGACCCAACCCTGAACAGGACACCTCTTTATCACATGGCATGCACACCTGCCCCCCACCCAACACACAGATGTACTCATGCATACTGGAACCATGTAGATATGCCAGTTCACCTAATGTGCACATCTTTGGGATGTGGTAAGAAACTGCAGTACTCAAAGAAAACCCATGCAGATATGGGGAGAACGTGCAGACTACACACAGACAATGGCCTTGTCCAGGAATCAATTATTTTTTCTCATCAACATTATAACAAAACAGGCTGGGCATGGTGGCTCACGCCTGTAATCCCAGCACTTTGGGAGGCCGAGGCGGGCAGATCACTTGAGGTCAGCAGTTCTAGACCAGACTGGCCAATATGGTGAAATCCCATCTCTACTAAAAATATAAAAATTAGCCTAGTGTGGTGGCTATGCCTGTAATCCCAGCTACTCGTAAGCTGAGACATGAGAGTCACTTGAACCTGGAAGGTGGAGATTACAGTGAGATCGCACCACTGCATTCCAGCCTGGCCGACAGAGCCAGACTCTGTCTAAAAAAAAAAAAAAAAAAAAATTATATAACAAAACGATGTTGAGAAAACAACATTATTGGAGACCCTGCTATACCTACAATTGTCTGAAGCGGCTATTAAAAGACTCCTCGCATTTTCAACTACGAATCTGTTTGAGACTGCAGTTTTTTTATTTTTATATACTTCAGCTAAAACAGAATATTACAGACACATTGAATGCAGAAGACTGGATACAGCTCACTTTTACCAATAGTGAATACTGCCATTCACTATTGAGATTTGCAAAAATCTAAAATGATAAAACTCTTTTTCTTATATTTATTTTATTTTGGAAATATTTTTAATAAAAATACATAATTTGTGGTAATATGTGGTAGGTTTATTATTTTTTAAATAACTTTAAAATTCATTTTAAAATAAAAATTCTGTAAATTTCTCAATTTTAATTTCTAATATATCTATAGATATTACCTAAACAATAACTCCCACCCCAAAAGTTTGTTGTGAAGGTTAAATAAATTAACACATGTAAAATGTTCGGAAAATGAGGGCACATAGTGTCAAAGTCAAAATAAAATATTAAGACAAATCTCTAAATTTGATGTTTTATTTTGGGAAGGAAGAATTGCAATTAAGAGCATACACATAGACCACATAGATCATGTGATCTTTGGTATGTTCCAAGAACAAGGAAAGTTTGGGAGTTTTATTAGAAAGAGAAATGTTACTTATTTTCTTGAAAGAAAGGTCACTGCCACCAGAGAAGCTTTTGGGAGCTGGCAAGCTCTGACTGAAGAGTGATGATGGTAAGTACAATTAGTCTTACAGTCATGGCAGGTCGTTTCAGCAGCTACTAGGTAAAACTGGTCTTAAGGTTACAGCAGCCTGTTTCAGCAGCTGGGCTTGTGGAAGATTCTTCTAGCAGTTGCTGTGTGCCCTGAAGGCTTTCCCCCTCTGGCCTCTTGACTCCAATTTAGTTGAGCATGTCAAGAAAGACCCCACTTGTATAGTCAACTTTCACAATAGTAAATGTTTTAAATTATTATTATTTACTTCTTTTTACTACTTGATGAGCTCTTTAAAGAGAAGTGGGTGATTTGCAGCAAAATTCTTAGGGCTTCAGACCTTTTGATGCTTATGTGTCTGTACACAGTAATAAAGGAGCAAAACAGATGCTATATCTCTCTTCTGCCTTTTATATGTCATGGGAGCACTGCTTACTAGTAGATTATAACCTAAAACCATACTGGCAAGGGATTCTCAGAAATATTTTTCTCTGCTTGAGCCCCTGTTTCACAGGAGAGCAGGGAATGGTGCTGAGCTGCCAACAGATTATTTGAAGCACAGGAAGTATGGGGGCTAACAAAATTAAACATAGTTTAATATGTTAGTTAAAAATGAATTTGGTATTTCTTAGAGTCTTTAATATGCTAATGGGCATTGTAAGACTCCAAAGGAGACAAGCTTATGATTTCCAAACTTATTTGAGACAGAGCTTTTTCCCTGTAGATCGCTTATTTTCCATGGAGCACCTGGGAAGAGAAGAGTTTATAGTTCTCTTTGAGCACTCTGGGCTCAATAAAACATTACAATGCATATTGGCATTTATGGACTAAAGTCAGCAAGGGTTGAATGTCACAGAATAAGTGCTTTAATTCTTGTGATGGTATCAGATTTCGGGGAATGCAAGGCATTTCAACTCTTTGAATCACTGGGAAACTGCAAGAGTTTGGAAATAATCTCCCATCACCTGAAGATTTTTTAGCCCCAGTCCACACTGTTCTTCATCTTTTGGTATGCCATGGGCAAATTTTAGAACAAAATAAAAAGATAATAAAGACTCAAATGAGAGTCAACTAGTATAATCTTAAAAAAAATGTGTTTCTACAATTGTGATGTCATACTGTAGTTGATTTATGAACATTCAGAGATGATTTGTCTAATTAGTGGGTTACAATATTAATCAGTTATCAGTATCTCTCTCATTCTTTCATTTCTTAGTTGATGTACTAAATAAGAACATATTTATATTTCTGAATATGTGTGTTAGTGTGTGTATATGCAGATAGATAGATAGATAATGCCTACTACCAATATACCAGGCATGGTGCTGGACATGGAAATGTAACAATGGGAAAGAGAATCACCCTTGCCCTCGGGAACTGTACAGTCAAGTCTAGTGGATCTTCTTTTCTTCATATATTGCTTATTTTGTTAATTAAATATTTAGTGGATGAACCAGAGAAAACTCAAAATATGGCTATAAAGTAAGCATTTCTTTTAACATTTTTAAAAACAGTTTTGTTGAAAAGATTAGCTATTTTCATCAAAGAGAGGTAGAAGTCCATAGGGGAAATGACAAAAAATTATTGAATAAAATAAAAAGTTTTTTGCTTAATGACTATGTCATTTATCTATGTTCTTTTCATTTCCTCTTGTAGCTGATCTGAACTTCATTTTCTAAAGAGTCAAGCAGGTACATTTTCAATTCTTTATTACACTAAAATTACTGTCATGGATTAGGGCATCTGTGATTGTATGATAAATTCTGTTAGTGTTTGCATCAGCAAATTTAACACCTCAGCTCCAGGAATTATATTCCTTCTGTACAATATACCCAAAGTACTACATGTGTACATATCTGTAAATTTTATGTATCAATCAATGGGATTGTTACAGACTTATTTTGTCCCCCTAAAATTTATGTGTTGAAAAGACTTCCAGTGAATGTGACTGTGTTTGAAATAAGACAGTAATTAAGGCTAAATGAGGTCATAAGTATGGGCCTCTGATTTGATAGAATTAATGTCCTTATAAGGGGTGACACCAGAAAGCTCATTCTCTCTCTCTGCCATGTGAGAACACAGAATGAAGGCAGTTATTTGCAATCCAGGAAGAGAGAACCCTCACGAGGAACTGAATTGGCCGACACCTTGATCTTGGACTTTGCAGCCTCCAGAACCATGAGAAATCTATGTTTGTTGTTTAAGCCTTTTGGGTACATGATAGTTTGTGATAGTAACCTGAGCTGACCAATACGTAGGCAAATGGATAAAACAAAAAAATTTACCTGTCAAGGTTGACAGCAAGGAAATATGTAATCTTGCTTTATTCTAAGAACCAATGCAAGTATATAGGGGATTATTTAGAAATAATGCACTCCCCCAAATCACTGTAAGATAATTTTGGAGAGTGCATTATTTCCAAGGGCAATGAATTTGTATAAGTTTTCATGTCAGTGATAATGATGTATAATAAATATCTGACAATACTGTGATAAATAAGTAGTTGGAGGTATGAAAGAGAACTTTTAAAACACTGCAGAGAAGAAACTGCAAAGAATGGTTTAATGGCATAATTACCATATATCGATTATACATCAGCTCTTACCATATAATTTATTTGAACTTTTATGGCTGTTGCCATCAAAAAGTTTCCACTGGTTTTTTTTGGCAGTGGTAATATGATTAAAATAACATATAAAGTAAGCTTTTAGTTTTTTAGGAGACTTACTAATTTGAAGCAAAAGACTTACAGCTATTCAAATTTCTTTTGTCTCTCTCCCTCTCCCCCTCTCTCTTCTTTGTTTAATCCATTGTTATGCTCAAGCACATTTTTTTCCTTATAGGGTTCATTATCAGATGATAATACATCCCAAACTCAGTCCTTGAACTTCTTCTCTTCTCTATTTACAGTTTCTCATCTGGTCCCATGGTTTTAAAAGTCATCTATATGAAAATATATATTCCATTCCTGATTCTCCCTGGGGTCACACTCATACACCAAACCTCTGTTTCTGCCTTGATTTCTGTAGCCACAAACTGGCATTCTTGCTCTACACTTTCTTTTTTAGGACATTAATTCTGTCTTTATTTTACTTTATATTTTATGCACATTAAAATAGACTTTATCTTTTAAATAAGTTTTAGGTTCACAGCAAAATTGGGCAGAAGTTACAGAGATTTTTCCATGCTAGCCTCCACATATGCACAGCAGTTCAATCTTTTTGACTAATAAGCCATTATGTCATTTTTTTCTGTTCAGAATCCTCCATATCATAGAGAGCAAAGGCCACATCTCTCATCAATAAGGCTCTTTATGATATAGCTACCTTTTCAATCTCCTTTCCTATTATTGTTTTTCACCTTCAAGCTGATTCAGACACATAACTTTCTAGTGGATATGTTAATTTGCTTCACTATAGTAACATTTACTATCTGTATGTATCCCATCATATGTTGTAGATCTTAAATATACACAAATCTATTTTAAAAAATAAAATCTAGCTACTTCTCAAACACACAAAGCCCATTCCTATTTCTGGCCCTTTGCATTTGCTGTTCATTCTGCCCAAAGTGCTCATTTTCCAGACCTTCACATGGCTCTCTACCTTACTTATGCAGGTATCTGCACATTTTTTATCCTGGAGAAAATTTCCTTGACAACATTTTCTAAAAGAGCAACCCCAGTCACTTTTTATCCTCTTGCCCTGATTTAGTTTTCATCATACAACTAACTCTAGAACTCTTACTGCCTGACATTATATTAAACATTATTTGCTTATGTGTTTATTATTTGTCTCTTGCACTATAATGTAAGCCCCATGAGAGGAGGGACATTTATAGTGTCTTTTCTACTGAATCCCCAGTTGCCTGAAACTGCTTGACACATAGTATGCTCTTTATAACAACTTGTTGAATGAATGAATATGAATGAATGTTGTGCTAATTATTATTTGAATGTTGACTCTTCCTTTTTTTTTTGAGATAAGATCTCATTCTGTCACTCAGGTTAGAATGCAGTGGCATGATCACGGTTCACTGCAGCCTTAACCTCCCAGGCTTAAGCAATCATCCAACCTCAGCTTCCTGAGTAGCTGGGACTACAGGTGTACACAACCACACTAGGCTTATTTTTTTTTTTATGTTTTGTAGAGACAGGGTCAGTCTCACTTTGTTCCCCAGGCTGTCTTCCTATGTATTTATGCTTAACTGTTTTATGTATCCACAATCTAGTCTCCCTTTTTATTCTTATAACAAGAAATTAGATTTTGCACCAATGGGTTTTGGTTCATTAGAATATTTCTTTGGGATTTAATGACGTTTGGAATTGAGTATTCTTTTAGTAATCTCTAGTGATTCCCTCTTTCATTCCCCATGATCAGTGCTTCAAACTTTTACAAACTCATGGACTCTTTAATCCATTCAATATGCTTCTTAGTAGAATATTTTCTCACTTAGTCACTGAAAATATAGGCTGTCTTAGGTATGAATTCCCTAATATTCTGTTTTTTTTTTAAACTTCAAATTGTATTTAATTCTTCTCTTCCTTGTGCCAACTCTTGCCTCTGCTTCCTCTTAAGGGACTGCCCTGGCCCTCTGCCCCTTATGCTCATTACTACCCACCCTCTGGAAGAAGTCAACCCTTGCTATTTCTACATCTTCATTTGCCACTTGACATGATTTGGCTGTGTCCCTACCCAAATCTCATCTTGAATTGTAATTCCTTCATGTTGTGGGAGGGACCCGTTTGGAGATAATTGAATCATGGGGGTGGTTTCTCCCATACTGTTCTCATGGTAGTGAATAAGTCTCAGGAGATCTGATGGCTTTATAAGGGGAAACCCGTTTCACTTGGCTCTCACTCTTCTCTTGCCTGCTGCCATGTGAGACGTGTCTTTCACCTTCTGCCATGATTGTGGGATCTCCCCAGCCACATGGAACTGTGAGTCCATTAAACCTTTCTTTTGTAAATTGCTTATTCTTGGGTATGTCTTTTTCAGCAGTGTGAAAATGAACGAATATACCACTATTCTTGATACTGTTTTTTATATCCACAACTCTTTTATTATAAGTCACCTATTATCATCTAATCATCAAGTCCAATAATTTCTTCTTCATCTCCATACCACATGAACTTACTTTAATTTTGATTTTGTTGATCCATCTTACATCTTATACCACCACCACGTTTTGTTTAACTCTTTGTCTTCTTGTTACTCTTCATAAATATTTGGTAAGCATATGTAATTTATTTAATTTCTTCCTGTTTTTCATATACAACCAAAAATATGGGTGCTAGCCAAAGTCCTATGCTCTGGTGCTAGTGATCAAAACCCAATTCGGAACAACCGAAGCAATAACAGAATGTAGAGTGGGCCTCATTCATGGACTCCAATGTCATCATCAGACTCTCTCTGCTATGCGTCCTCCATTCTGTGAGTCCCATGTAATGACAAAGTTGACCACTAAGTGCTCTCAGCTTATATTATCTTTATAGCTAACAAGCTGGGGAGAAGCGACTACCTTTTTTCTGTTATCTTTACAGATAGCAGATGTTCCCAATAACTTTATAGATGTCTATAGTTACTTACTGGCCCAGCTTAGGTTCTGAGATCATCCCTGAATCAGTCACTACGATCAAGGGATGGGAGGACTTGGAATTACCAGTCTTGGATCACATACTCACTCCTGCAGTTGGGATTTGGGCCATGTCTCTCTCAGAAGCACATGACCTGAGAATGGGAGAGGATTGGGTCTCCAAAGTGATACCGAGTATCTTCCCTTCCTATTTTTTTATACGTATTCTTGGGTTATCATGTCAACTGCTGTAGCTTCTACTATTATCTATTAGTTGGTATTTTGCAAGTCTCATAATAAGAATGAGCCTAAATAAACTAGAAAGCCACTGGAAAATTAATTGGAGCTAGAGGCACTGCTCCAAAGGCAATGGTTGATACTAATGAAAAAAAAAAAAATAAAAGCATAACGTTCAAAGAGGATGTCACACTTATATGTGGTTTGCAAAGTATCACTACCAGATACCAAAGTATCACTACCGGAATCAGGCAAATCATAATAATTCAATAGCTGAGTAGGTAGATATTGCCAATATTGCCCCAATTCAGGTAGATTTCCAGGACTTCTTTGCAGTCTCAGAAGAAAGCCCGCCCGAGGCAGGTAAAAAGCAGGATCTGACCCTGCAGCTGAAGGAGGGCTGAGTGGGAACCAGAAGGGGCATCAGGGGCCTAGTCAGGCAGGTTGGTTTCCAGTAGAAGACCCTAGTCCTGGGGATAGACCAGGGAAGCAAATACATACGCTGGGAAGAACATAGAAAGTGGCAGACAGGAGACTAATACAGGTGGGACCGGTACAGAGAGGAGATGGGTATTGAAAAAGTAGTTGCTTGGGGTTACACTCAGGTTTTTTTTTTTTTTTTTTAATGTAACAAGTACCACAGCTCATTGTAAATATAACTTTGCTATAATCCAAAGTATTGTGAATACTCAAAGATAGGCTTTTGAGAACTTCTGTTCCTACCAATTGCATTTCAGTTTTCTTCTTTGTAAATAAAAAATTACAAACAAAACATTCAGGTTGAATTAGCTAATCTCTAAATTATCTTCTCAATTATACATACCTATAATTCTATGAGTATTCAAAAATATAATTAATAACTTAAGTGAGGGCAAAGATTTTTTTCTGGTTTTCTTTCTCCAATTAAGTCAATACCTAGAGCAGTACTTTACACAAAAAAAATTTCTTAAATTTGAAAGAACGTTGTGCATGGGAAAATAAAAAGTGGGCTATTGAATTTACTCTCCTCTGAATTAAGGAATAAGATTTAAAAATATTTTTGTAATATATGACATGAAAAGGGGATAATAAGTTTAACTGGAAACCTGTAGATTTCATAACTATTGTAAGAAAACTATGATAGTAGTAAGTCAAAGACATGTCTATTGCTAATTTTCAAACAAATTTGCTTTCGGTTTACTTGGCTGGCCCTTGATCTTGCCTTAAAGGAAGAAAGGAGGTGGACAGAATCCTAAGACAAAATGTTTATGTTTTAATATTAATTTTAATTAGCTTTAATTATTTAAAAAGTCCATTATACAGTATCATCCTGTGGACGACTTTTTACCACATGATGGTATAATGTAGGAAATTTTGATTTAAGTAAGAAATCAAGAATTTCAAGTTGTCTTTTTTAGAGCCGAAATCATACTTGTTGTTATCCTCAAGTTGTAAGACCAAATTTTGCCACTAGGTGGCAAGAGTTGCAAGTTGAAAGGCAGTGGTGTTACCAGACATGAAGTATACTGGCTGATGCGTACCTGTATACCAGCTTATTTTTGTGTGCAAGTATATTAATCTTAGAAACTCTTACTAGGAGAAAATAAATTTTATTTGGGTCTTTACTTCTGAAAGCCATATAATAAAATAGAAAACAGGCATAAGCTCTTAGAATAAAGAAAAGAACAATAGTTTCTCTTAATTGCAGTGATTGGATATTGAGCTAAAACATTAGGGAGCATAAGTAAAGTTAGCCTTAGGCAAAACTGCAAAGTGGTGGTTTCATTCTCCTCTCTGGTATCCCCTAGGAATCAAAAGAGATGGTTTTCAACTTTCCTCATTCTCTTTTAGAAAGTTCCCTCTCCCAGCTGCTGCTGTTCCTGCTGTCCCAGCTGCTCCATTGTGGGCACTTACCACACTGATTTTTAATTCTACCTTCATCAAAACATGCCTATTCTATGTCTCATCCTTCTGGAGTCAAAACCTTGAATGCAGGCTAATCAAAACACAAACCCATTTCCATATTTTAATAAGGACTTCAGATTTAATGGAGAAGTAGCTCAATTTTGTTTCATTGTGTTACTCCTCTCTTAGTAGATACACTACATTTCCAAATGGGTTCTGTTAGTCATGATCTGAGCAGGAAACAGAAGGCACGCTTGACAGATGGGGTAACTGGAGAGAATTTAGTAAAGGAACTAGTTAGTGAATTCCCTAAATGAAGAGCTCAGGGACATCAACAAGTGATAGGGAACCACTGTGGGACTATTCACAGTGAGAAATTATTACCATTCCTTGCCACGGAGTAGACACCTTCCATAAGGAGCTGTGAATATAGAGAGAAGACTGCAGCTACTACAAACCTGAGGCGCCCATGGGGAGTGTGTGAGGGGGATGGTGAGGATTAAGTATTCTGACTTTTCTTTCCTTCCACTGTCTGTCTGGTTTCCTGAGTTGCTCTTTATTGGGAAGATCTTAACCAGAAGCCGGAGGGCAAGGGAGCCTTGAGATGTGGTACACAGAGATCAACTCTTTGGGTCCAGAACAGGAAGAAGAAATTAGAGACTGAATCTGGAAGGGCAAATGAGAAAATCCACCCCAAGGGAACTTTGATAATAGTGCTTAAAAATGGCCTTTAAGTAGGGAGTTTCAACTGACCAGGCTTGTTGGCAAGTGGGCCTGAATTTATCACTCAGATCACATTAGCTGGGCAGATCAATGTTCTACAAATGTATTTTCTCCTGTCTTCAGATATACTTGGTAAATATCACATAGTAAATATCTATTAATTTATGATTGTCTTTGCATACCAACACATAACTAGGTGGTTTGTTAGGATATTTGATCCTAAAGATCTTGCAAGTGCTTTCTCTCATCTTCATTAGTGGTTTTTAATGTAGCAAAAAACACAATACTCTATCCCCCATAATTCTAAAAAAAGAAGCTTTGGGAATGCAAAAGTAAACACAAACTGTATTATTTACTATGCCAATTTAACAATTCCAGTTTTCATACAACATGTCCAAATCTTTTGTTAAAGAAACCTTCATGCCAGAATTCATTATATATACAGAAATATAGATCCAGGCAATTTCTACTACGCTAACTTAAGCTTGCCTGGTGGCAGAACTATAGCTTGAACAATAGCTAGCTTGATAGGCTAGTTCTTTTTCTTCCTCCATGCAAAATAGTTCTGCCACTTTTATACTGAGGAAAAGAACATAGACCACGAGAGGGACTGAGAAGCCAGAGAAACATACCCTGGAATCTCTCAGGTTTGGTTTGGAAGCTTTCACAAAGGATTGATATCAAGCACATGCTCAATATTTTGCAGACAGTAGACAATTTCTGCTCTACTAGGTCTTAAATAAAAATAATTAAAATTAAAACACAAAATGAATTTTCTTTTTTCTTTTTCCTTGGCCCAGATTGTTCTACTATTAGAAAAGATTTGTATGTCCTGAGAGAATCTGATAGCAAAGGTTTAGAAACGCTTTACCATCCCAGACTGCTAACTGCTTACTAGTATACTGAGGAGACATTTTATAAGTAATTTGGATTTTGGTCACCCTCTGACTTAGACCCTCAATTCTTCTGGTACTTACCACCAGGTTGCTAAGCATCTAGAGTAAACTAGGCCATCCTTGGTGCTCTTATTTCTTATTTTAGACATTCTGCAGGCAAATTTATGTAAGCTCACTGCTCCAGCAACCAAGTATACACAGATGACACTCAGTTGAAACATTCTCTTCAGGTTCAAACACAACTGCTTCACAACCTACTTTGCTAATCCTCTTTTCAGATAAGGCCACCATAATCTCCCTGTGAGTAATCATCCATGCCACCTTCTCCGTTACTTTCCAGTAAGTCACTCATTTCCCTTTGCTCCATCAGTTCTGCTGGAAGTCCCTTTTCTGCATCCTCTCTGCCACTGCTCTAGGTCAGGTCCTTTTCTTCTGGCCACGTGCTGTGGTCATACTGAATTACTTGCTCTTCTCCAAATACAATCAAGGGGTACATTGGTTTGGTTCAGAAAGGCAAGACAACTTGAAGTGGGGCAGGGGGTCGAGGTGAGGGGTGAGGGGCTTCCAGGTTATAGGTAGATTAAAAAAAATTCTGGTTGACAATTGGTTGAGAACTAGGATCAATAGAAAGGAAATGTCTGGGTTAAGATAAAGGAATGTGGAGACCACAATTCTTATTGTGCAGAGGAAGCCCTAAAGTAGCAGGCTTCAGAGAGAATAGACTGTAAATGTTTCTTAATGGACTTAAAAAGGGTGCCAGACTCTTAGTTGACTATCTTCCAGATCCGGAAAAATGCATGGAAAAAAGGGAAGAAGTGATTCTCTACAGAATGTGGATTTTTCCCCACAAGAGATGACTGCAGGGCAGTTTCCAGATATGGCAAGGAAATACATTTGGAGTTAAAATATTTTTTATTTCCTTCCTTATTTGTCATGTGATATTATGCCAGAGTCAGTTTGGAAAGTGAGCCACATTATTTAGGGTTAAATAAACTCCTCTGATGAGACTTTATGGTTTGTAGGGCATGACTCCCCGAGCCCTTTAGATAAGACTTTAGAGAAGAGAAGAAAAAAGTTCAGAGTTTAGTCCTCAGTGTCTTGTAAAGAGCATGAAACTGAACACTTAAAAAAATCTAACATGGTAATCTTTCTTTATTGGTAAATGTAAACATTTAATTTTCAATTTTATGCTTAAGGTAATTTATAACATATTTGACTTTAATGCCTCCATTTTATTTTATAGTTTTTATTTGTCCTTTATATATATTTTTGCTTTTTCTACCTTCTTTTCAATAGATCAAGGTTTATAAAATTCCATTTTAGTGTATGTGCATTATCACTTTCCTAACTGATATGGTTTGGCCCTGTCCCCACTCAAATCTCATCTTGAATTGTAGTTCTCGTAATCCCCATGTGTTGTGGGAGGGACCTGGTGGGAGGTAATTGAATCGTGGAGGTGATTACCTCTATGCTGTTCTCTTGATAGTGAGTGAGTTCTCATGAGATCTGATGGTTTTATAAGGGGCTTTTCTCCACCTTCTCTATGCACTTATCTTTGCTGCCACCATGTGAAGAAGGATGTGTTTGCTTTCCCTTCTGCCATGATTGCATGTTTCCTGAGGGCTCCCCAGCCATGCTGAAGTGTGAATCAATTAAACCTCTTTCCTTTAGAAATTACCCAGTCTCAGGTATGTTTTTATTAGCAGCATTAGAATGGACTAATATGGTAAATTAGTACTGGTAGAGTGGAGTGCTAATATAAGGATACCTGAAAATGTGGAAGCGACTTTCGAACTGGGCAACAAGCAGGGGTTGGAATAGTTTGGAGGGCTCAGAAGAAGACAGGAAAATGTGGGAAAGTTTGCAACTTCCTAGAGACTTGTTGAATAGCTTTGACCAAAATACTGATAGTGATATGAACAATGAAGTCCAGTGAGGTGGTCTCAGATGGAGAAGAGGAACTTGTTGGCAACTGGAGCAAAGCTGACTCTTGTTATGCTTTAGCAAAGAGACTGGCAGCATTTTGTCCCTGCCCTAGAGATCTGTGGAACTTTGAACTTGGGAGAGATGATTTAGGGTATCTAGTGGAAGAAATTTCTAAGTGGCAAAACATTCAAGAGGAAGCACAGGATAAAAGTTTGGAAAATTTGCAGCCTGATGCTGTAGAAAAGAAAACCCATCATCTGAGGAGAAATTAAAGTCCATTGCATAAATTTGCATAAGTAATGAGGAGCCAAATGTTAATCACCAAGACAATGGGTAAAATGTCTCCAGGGCATGTCAGAGAACTTAATAGAAGCCCCTCCTATCACAGGCCCAGAGGCCTAGGAGGGAAAAATGGTTTTGTGGGGCAGGTCCAGGACCCCCCTGCTGTGTGCAGCCTTGGGACTTGGTGCCCTGTGTCCCAGCCTCTCCAGATGTGGCTAAAAAGGGCCAATGTACAGCTCAAACCATTGCTTCAGAGGGTGTAAGCCCCAATCCTTAGCAGCTTCCACATGGTATTGGGCCTGCAGGTGTGCAGAAGTCAAGAAGTGAGGTTTGGGAACATTGGCTTAGATTTCAGAGGATGTACGGAAAGGCCTGGATGTCCAGGCAGGTGTGCCACAGGGGCAGGGTCCTCATGGAGAACCTCTGCCAGGGCAGTGTGGAAGGCAAATGTGGAGTTGGAGCCCACATAGAGTCCCCACTGGGGCACTGCCTAGTAGAGCTGTGAGAAGAGGGCCAACATTCTCTAGACTCCAGAATGGTAGATTCACTGACACCTTGCACGGTGCACCTGGAAAAGCTGCAGATCCTCAATGCCAGCCATGAAAGGAGCCAGGAGTGGGGCTGGGCCCTGGAAAGCCACAGGGCAGTGATGTCCAAGGTCATAGGAGCCCATCTCTTGCATGAGCATAACCTGGATATGAGACATGGAGTCAAAGAAGATTATTTTGAAGCTTTAAGATTTATTTACTGCCCAATTGGATTTTGGACTTGCATGGGGCATGTAGCCCCTTTGTTTTGGCCAATTTTTTCAATTTGGAATGGCTGTATTTACCTAATGCCTGTACCTCCATTCTATCTAGGAAATAACTAACTTGCTTTTGATTTTACAGGCTCATAGGCAGACTGGACTTGCTTTGTCTCAGATAAGACTTTGGACATGGACTTTTGAGTCAGTGCTGGAGTGACTTAAGACTTTGTGGTACTGTTGGGAAAGCGTGATTGTGTTTTGAAATGTGAGGACATGAAATTTTGGAGGGGTGAGGGGTGGAATTATGTGGTTTGGCTGTGTCCCCACCCAAATCTCATCTTGAATTGTAGTTCCTATAATACCCACGTGTCGTGGGAGGGACCTGGTGGAAGGCAATTGTATCATGGGGGTGGTTACCCCCATGCTGTTCTCATGATAGTGAGTGAGTTCTCATGAGGTCTGATGGTTTTATAAAGGACTTTTCTTCTACTTCACTCTGTACTTCTCCTTGCTGCCACCATGTGAAGAAGGATATGTTTGCTTCCTCTTTCACCATGATTGTAAGTTTCTTGAGGCCTCCCCAGCCATGCTTAATTGTGAGTTAATTAAATCTCTTTCTTTTATAAATTATCCAGTGTCAGGTATGTCTTTATTAGCAGCTTGAAAACTAACTAATACACTAGTTAATGTCAAGTCGTTTTCCAAAATGGCTTTAGCAATTTGTACTCCTACATGCAATGCATGAGAATTTTCTTTGCTTGATGGTCTCACCAACACTTGATGTTGTTTGGCTTCTATTATTTTTGACAATCTGGTATTTATGCAATGGTATTTCAACATTTTAAATTTGCATTTATCTGACTACTAGTGAGGTTGATCATCTTTTCGTATATGTAGTGGTCAATTAGATTCTTCTTTTCACAGGAGGAGAGAGAAAAAAGTGAAATAAGCCAGGCACAGAAAGAAAAATACTGCACGATGTCCCTTATATGTGAAATCTAAAAATGTTGAACTAACAGAAGTTGAGAGTAGAATGGCAGTTACCAGGGGCTAGAGAATGGGGGGTCTGGGGAGATGCTGGCAAAAGGGTACAAAGTTTCAGTTATTCAGGATGGATGCAATCTAGAGAGATCTAAGGTACAGCATAGTGACTGCCATTCACAATAATGTACTGTATATTGAAAATTGCTAAGAGAGTACATCTTAAATGTTCTCACTGCAAAAATGATAAATATGTGAGGTGATGGATATGTTAATTAGCTTAATTTAATCACTCTACAATGTACACATATATCAAAACATCACTTTGTACCCCATACATACATGCAATAAAAATGTTTTTAAAACGTGTTTATATCTTTAGCCTGTTGTTTTCTATTAGGTAGTTTGTTTCTTTCACATAAATTAGTAGCATTCTTTATGTTTTCTCTGTACTAATCCTTTGTTGATTATATGTGTTGCAAATGCCTTTTTCCACTTTGGGGCTCATTTACCTCCTCTTTCTATGGTGTCTTTTAATGAGAGTTCTTAATTTTAACGTAGTTAAATTTATCATTATTTCCTTTATGGTTAGCAATTTTTGTCCATGTTTTTGTAAATCTTGTTTATGATATATTTCCCTTCCCTGAAATCTTGAACATGTTTTCCTGTATAATATTCTAAGAGCTTTATAGTTTGCTTTTTTCATAGGTCTTTAATTTGCTTGGTAGTGATTTTAGTCTGTGGCAGGGGGCAGACCTTTTTTTTTTTTTTTTTAAAGACGAATCTATTCAATTACTCCAGACCATTTATTTATAATTTGTAATGAAACTTCTATGATCTATCATATTTCCCCAAGTTGTAGTAACACTTCTGTTATATCACATATTCATAGATGTGTGTGTTAGTTTTTGGATATCTTTTTCTGTTCCATTGGTCTAGTTTTCTATCCCTGCAGCATGACTAAACAGTCATATATACACTAGCTTTATAATAAGTATTGCTATTTTGTGACAAATTTCTTTCTAAACCACCCATCTAGCCTTAAGTTTTAAAGCTTCATATTCCAGGAATTGGCATATGCCCTCAGGAGTCATTCAAGTACTAATATATCACATTGTATCCCTAAATCTTCTTCATTTTGTGGCCTCTGACGATTTTCCTAACCTTCTGTGTTCTTAGCTACATATTTTAAATACTCTTTATTATAAGTTATCTCACATGGTGTTTTGTTTGGAAGGATTTTTCAGCATATCTTGTTCTCCATGTTGTCAGAGCAAAAGCCTCCTCCATTTGGCAAGGAGAAATAACATGCCTCAAAAAGCATTTCCACAATTTAAGCAGAAATACTACTTTAAAATATTTAAGTGAGTGTGAATAGAAAGATATGGAAGAAAAATTTAGTTTTATGACTTATCCCCACCATCATGCAGTCAATTATTCTCAGATTTTGATGGGATCTACTGATTAGATATTACATTTTGCATGCAAAATTTTCTTGTTTTTTGAGACAGGGTCTTGCTTTGTCACCCATGCTGGAGTACAGTGGTGTGAACATGGCTCTCTGCAGCCTCAAACTCCTGGGTTCAAGCAATTCTCCCACCTCAGCCTCCTGAGTAGCTGGGATCACAGGTGTGCACCACCATACCAAGCTAATTTCTACATTTTTTGTAAAGAGAGGGTCTCACCATGTTGCCCACGTTGATCTTGGACTCCTGGACTCAAGTGATCTTCCTGCCTTGGCCTCCCAAAGTGCTGGATTACAGGCGTGAGCCATTGCACCATGCTTGGCATGAAATATTTTCATAGAGATACTTAGTAGCCTATTATGGCATTCTGTTTCCTATAACACATACTAAATTCTTTTTAGTTAACTAACTGATGGTAATGTCTTAGAAGACAACTTTTAAAAAACATTTATATAATTCTTGCACACGTACCCTGGAACTTAAAGTATAATAAAAAAAATTTATATAATTCTTATGTATCAGGCACTATTTTAAACGATATGTAAACATTATCTGTTTTAATGCTCATAAAATTTGATGAAGTAGGTAGTAGTATAACAGATAGATTAACTGACACATGGGACAATTAATTGGGTTGCCTAAGGCCAACAGCTGGTAAATAGGGCAGGGATTGGAATCCAGACAGTTTGACTCCAGAGTTAGCACTCTTAACCACTATGCTACTCGTAGTGATTTCAGCTCATGTTTCTGTGGAGTTTGCACAGGTGAGAGAAGTCTTAATGAGTGAAACATGATAGTCAACCCAGAGGAGAAAAATCAGAAGTCATATAATATGATTTCATTACCTGTATTTGGCATATTTACAATAATTTGCCGGTGAGATGTCAAATGTCAAATGTAAGCATAATTTAAAAGTGGCTATAGTATTGTCTTAGTTCATTTGGGCAGCTATAACAAAATGCCATAAACTGGGCAGCTTGCAAACAACAAAAATCTATTTTTCACACTTCTGGAGTCTGGGAAGTCCAAGATCAAAGAGCCACAGATTTGGTGTCTGAGGACCCATTTCCTTGTTCACAGATGGCACCTTTTGTGTCCTCATGTGGTGAAAACGTGGGAACTAGCTCCTGTTTTATAAGGGCACTAATCCTATTCATGAAGGCTTATGACCTAATCACCTCCCAAAGAGCCTCTAACATCACCTTGAGGGTCAGGACTTTAACATAAGAATTTCAGGAGACACAGAACATTCAGACTATAGCAAGCATGCACAAACTATATTTTATTCATTTAACATTTTTGAGTGCCTGTTACATGGCAAATATTGTGCTACATGCTGAGGTTATGAATGTGAACAAGTCACGCCCTCCCTCCTCCAACTCTCAAGAAAGTTCACCAAAATGGCTGAAGGCGTTTCCATTAAAAAGAGATATATCTCTGCAGGAACTTTCTTAGATAAGCATGTTTGACAGTGGGAAGAGAAAGAGGAAAAGGTAAATCCATATAAAAGAAAGAAAGCAGGGAGATGGGTTATTTCCTTTGACCCTTTGCTGGTTTGTTCCTGTTTTACCTGTGCGAGTAGACTATTGCTATATTTCTAGGACAGTGTCCAGAGATATCTTTTTCCTTTGCTTTGGACACTGCAGGTAAGATGTAGGTGTGATAAATAATTTTGAGCTTGTTAGTTTCAGGGTAATTGGTGAGGAAGGAAAAAGAAGATGACATACCTCAGAGTTCACTAATTGGCATTTCTTCTTGAAACGTGAACAAGAAAGCAAAATTGGCAGTGTTCTAAGACAATAAGGCAAAGGATTGTCTGCTGTGCATACATGGCTGCTGTGACTTTTCATTTCAGTTGCGTGACCAACTTGTTTGTGACCTTGATTTGTGCCTGAGGGTTTCATTACCTGATTCTTAGAACTGTAAAATAAAAACCAACATGAAGCCAGTCAAAACCCAAAGTTGATAATCAACTATAAATTCTCTGAATTTTTAGGCTATTTGTTAGTTGCAAGTTTTAGATTTTTTGTACTCTATGTAAACACTTTCAAATCACATAAATGCTTCCAGAAAAGTCCACACAATATGCTCTTCATATAGAGCTGGTTCTACTAGTTGATAATCAGTAATATTATTTACTGGGCTCCTCTTCTAATAGGAGGGATAATTCCATACTATTTCCATTTATTCCCTTTTACCTTTACCTGGAACTTGTTTTCTTTGTGAAAATACCATGTAGAGGACAACCAAGTAGCATTTTGGCGAGAAAAAGATTTATATAAATTGACTGAATTAAGAAAACAGAACCTTTTGGAGCATTTTTTTTACTAATTTTTTTACTAAAGAAAGTGTATTTGTCACTGCATTTGCTATATGTCATATTCGAAACCATGTGGAATCTTTTTGAATAAAGAAACAGATCAGGTAAAAGCCTGGAAAAATGTGTAAGAAAATAACAAGTTGTAAGGAAATATTAGCAACAAAAATTTATGGTGAAATGAAACAAAGCAGTAGCATCTTAATAATCAGGAAGGCTAATGGATCTCTGCAACGTATCATTATAAAAGCATTTCAAAGGGCTGGGAAGCCATCCCACTTGGAACTCTTCGCGTAATCCTGAACCTTATATGACAGGAATGGTAACAAAGCATCAATAAAGACAGCCGTGATGATAAAATATCTTTAGGTCATAGCTCCTTTTGGAGACTAAAAAAAATAAGGTCAGTACTTATTCTGAGAGGAAATGAAAGGTGAACATGACTAAGGCAGATAAAGTTTGGAGTATAAAAAAGTATATGAAAGAAAACTCTTCAAGGATAAAATAGTTCAAAAGCAAGAGGGCATGAAATAGAACAAAGGAAGGACTGACGTTTAAAAGAATGCTATTAAAAGAGTGCAATTCAGGTGTGAAAATAATGACCAAAGGTAGCCATGGAAATTAATAAATGCTTCCATTTAGTAAGAAGGAATTTATGAGATACTTAGGTAAAATTATGGAACAAATTAGTGGGTGTTGAAAGTATGACCTGAATGTACTTTTAATGAAGAACTTCTATATTCTACCTTGAAGTATATCTTACAGATAATTTGCTCAGAGGTAAAAGATTACATCTACTGGGCAGCTGATGGCATGTTATATGCTGCTTTGAATTTATTGCTGACAGTCAATCAATTGTATATATAGGATTATGTTATGAAGTTTTTATTTACAAGCACATTTATAGGCCAACATAGACACCTGTCAATGGAGAAAACTATATTTTGCTAACTATGTAATTAATAAAAAGACATAACTAGGGTTTGCTGAAGTAGATCTGGGAAGTGACTATAGTCAATTATTCCAATTCAGTACCTTCTTTGTTAAGTGAAAGTAAATTGTATGCACATGAGACTTGTATTTCCCTGAGCTACACTAGCTTTTACAGGCAAAAATGTACTTACATTAATTACAGTAGATTATGTTTATTTTTCTCCTTGTTATTTTATTTCCACCTGCAGGATTTTTTACTACCTGTTATTTTGTGATTTCCATTACCACTCACATCTCTTCTATACATTTCTTGGCATCTCCAGGATGTTTCCTGTGATCTCACAAATATATCCCTTTAAACTATTACTCTCTATGCAAAGGCATTTTGCTAGTTGCATCTGGTATCCACAGTCCCCTATTAGGCACAACCACTAAGTACTAACATTGCCCTTGGGTGTTCTAAGGCAGTATCACACTATGTGAGGCCTTCAGCACACTGTGGGGCCCTTGGCCATACTTAACTTTCCCCAGAAAAGGTAAGGAGAGTGTCTCTTTCCTACTTTAGGTTCTCTTGTTACATGGATACCACAGTGGTGCCGTCTTGACTTTAGAGATTTTAGTGAAAAGGTCATATATAAAAAGATATACATGCATGCATATATATATATACACACACACATACACAAAATTAGGACTGAGATATGAGTCCATAGGTCAAGACAGATGGCTTATGAGAAACACTATGCTTTCTCCATGCCAATGATGAAGGTTTTGTTGCTCAGCCAAATCATTTATATTCCTTGCATGTATTCCTTCCCAAGGGGCTTGCTTCTCAGTCCTGAATGCAAATAGATTTCTATATTTCCTTCTTCCATTTCTTTCCCCCTAGTCTGTCAAAATCTATCAGAAAATTTAGACATGTCTGAAGCCCAGAGATGAACCACTAAGGTAAAACTTGGGAGATCTGGCTGAATGAGGAATCTTAAAGTAAAAATAAGGTGGAGAGGAAGTGGAGGGGAAGGAGAAGAAGAAAAAGGAAAAAAACATAAGAAAATGAAAATTCAAAACAAACAGTGAACCAGTCTCTCTTTCTCTTTCCCTCCCTTGATCCACACCTGTTCTTTCATTAATGCTCTGACTCTTTGATGTTTCTTAGTTTAATATTCAAAATTTTTCTTCTATTGGCATCAGAGTCTGATACTTCTTATCAAATGGGATCAATTAAATCCCACCAAAATATTTAACATTTTACACTTTAGAGAGTAAATGCAATTTCATGGTTCAAATGAAATTCAGTTTTAAGCACAGTGAATACCTTAGAGGCATCCAGCTTGATTCTTTTAATTTCTAAGAGAATGTCAGATGTGCACCCCTTTGGTTGCTGAAAAGAAGAAAATTCTCCATAGCTGTTTCCAATTCTCTTTGTATCCTGCTTCATGCCATTGTTGGTGGCTGGCTGCATCATTATAATATAGTTTTCCCTAGCATATTTTTTTCTCTCCTGGAACATAAGTTGCTGTTTCAACCTAGTTAAGCAGATCATTTTCATAGATGTTTCAGTAATATCAACAAAGCTTGCGAGCCACCAAATACTGGTGTGACCTGACTATGTGGACTTTGGTTCCTTTGATCTCTGGAAGGGAAGATGAGAAATCTCACAGGGTGAAGCAAGGCAAGTCCTAGCTGCTGGGACACCAGGTAACTTCCAAGGCTAGAATAGCTTTATGTTCTCTAAGAGTAGAAACACCTCATTTTCATGTACTGATGACTTTAGCTGCAGGGTCAATATTCACTTTAGCTGCAGTAAAATTAAGAAAGCTATGGCAAATTTCTCTTGTCGTTTTTAAAACCTGCTGGAGAAAAGCAATCTACAGATTCAATGCAATCCCTGTGAAAACTCCAATGGCACTTTTTACAGAAATAGAAAAAATTCTAAAATTTATATGAAACTATGAAAGATGCCAAATAGCCAAAGCAACTTTGAACATGAAGAGTGAAGCTGGAGGCATCATATTACTTTATTTAAAAATATACTACAAAGCTATACTAATCAAAACAGTATGGTACTAGCATAAAAACAGACTTGTAGACCAATGGAACAAAATAGAGAGCCCAGAAATCCAAATCTGTGCATTTACATTTATATGATCTTTGACAAAGGTGCCAAGAACACACAAGGGAGAAAGGATAGTCTCTTTAGTAAATAATGTTGGGAAAACTGGATATCCATATGTAGAAAAATAAAAGTGGACCTTTATTTTACACTATGTACAAAAATAAACTCAAATGGATTAAAATCTGCTGGAGAATTTAAGGTAGGAAATTTTTAAAAATTGAGAAAATCATAGATTCACATGCAATTGCGATACATAATACAGAGTGATCTCTTGTACACTTTGCTCCATTTCCCCAATGGTAACAACTATAGTGTATTAACAACCAGGATATTGGCATTAAGTCAATCCACCAGTCTTATTCAAATTTCCCCAGTTTTACATGTATTCATGTGTGTGTTTGTGTGGGTTTATTTTTATACAGTTTTATCATCTTGTAGGTTTATGATCCACCAGCACAGTCAAGATATTGAACAGTTCCAATGCCACAAAGATCTCTCCTCTTGCCTTTTTGTAATCATACCTGTCTCACTACTGCCCCAACATACTCTTTAAATAACCACTAAAATTTTGTCCCTCATTTCCATACTTTCATCATTTTAATAATGTTATATAAATGGAATCATAAACACAGTGTAAACTTTCCTTAATAAACTTTATTTTTTGAGTATTTTGCGTTTACAGGAACATTAAGCAGAAAGTATAGAGAGCTCCCATATAACCTCTGTTGCCCAATTCCCATGCACAGACTCTCCTGCTATCAACATCCTGAACCACAGTACTATATTTGTCAGTCTATGAACGTAGAAACCTACATTGACACATGATTATTACCCAAAGTCCATAGTTTACATTAGGGTTCACTCTTGGTGTTGTATGTATACCTATGGAGCTTGGCAAATGTCCAGTGAAATTTATCCACCATTATGGTATCATACAAAATAGTTTTACTGTCCTAAACATCTGTACTCCAACTATCCCTCTCTCACCCTAACAACCCCTGCAACTACTAACCATTTTATTGTCTCCATAGTTTTACCTTTTCCAGAATGTTATATAGTTGAAATCATACATAATGTAGGCTTCTGGAATTGGCTTTCTTCACACAGTATAAATCTCTGGAGAATCATCTAGGTTGTCATGTATATTAATAATTTGTTTCTTTTTATTGCTGAATAATATACCATAATGTGAATGTACCACAATTTGTGTAATCATTCACTTGGTAAAGGACATCAGGACTAATGCCAGTTTTTGGCTTTTATGAATAAAACTGTTAAGAACATTCATGAATAGATTTTTGTGTGAATGCAAATTTTCATTTCTCTGGCATAAATGCTCAGAAGTATAATTGTTGGTATATTAGTTCATTTTTACACTGCTGATGAAGACATACCTGAGACTGGGTAATTTATAAAGGAAAAGAGGTTTAATGGACTCACAGTTCCACGTGGCTGGGGAGGCCTCACAATCATGGCAGAAGGCAAAAGGCACATCTTACATGGCAGCAGGCAAGAGAGAATGAGAGCCCAGCAAAAGGGGAAACCCCTTATAAAACCATCAGATCTCGTGAGACTTATTCACTACCATGAGAAGAGTATGGGGGAAACCACCCTGTGATTAAATTATCTCCCACTGCCTCCCTCCCACAACACGTGGAAATTAAGGGAGCTACAATTCAAGATGAAATTTGGGTGGGGACACAGCGAAAACGTATCAGTTGGGTTATATAGCAATTGAGTGTTTAGCTTTATAAGAAACTGCTAAGTTATTTTCCAGAGTGTTTGTATCATATTACAGCCCCACCAGCAATGTATGAGTGATCCAGTTTTTCCACAGCTTTGGTAGCCTTTGGTGTTGTCACTTTTTAATTTTAGCCATTCCGATAGGTGTGTATCGAAATCTCATCGAGACTTTAATTTGCATTTCCCTAGTTGATAATGATGTTGAACATTGTTTTATGTGCTTAATTGCCATCTGTGTGTGCTCCTTGGTGAATTGTCTCTTCATATCCTTTGTCCATTTTCTAATTGAATAGTTTGCTTTTTTACTGTTGAGTTTTGCACATTCTTTATATATTCTATGTAATAGTCTGTTGTTAGATATGCTAATCTGCAAATATTTTCTCCCAGTTTGCATCTTGTCTTTACGTTCTCTTCCCACGAGCTCTCACAGAAAAAAATATTTAAATTTTGATGAGGTCGAATTTATAAGATTTTCTTTTTATAGATTGGGCTTTGGTATCAATTCTGATAACTCTATCTAGCTCTAGATCCCAAAGCATTGCTCCTGTGTATTTTTTTTTCTAGAAACTTTATAGTTTCAGATTTTATATTAAAGTCTATGGTCCATTTTGAGTTCATTTTTGTATAAGGTGTAAGATTTAGATTGTTTCTTTATTTATTTTGCTTATGGATGTCCAAATGCTGCAGCACTATTTATTGAAAAGGCTATCCTTCTTTTCTGAAAGTGTCGTTGTATCTTTGTCACCTAACCATATTTATGTCATCTATTTTGTTTCATTGATCTGTTTCCTTCTTACTAAGGTAGTCTATTTTTGCCATTGAATTTGTTGAGTGCATGTACTGTAAATGGATTCACTATAATTTATTTTAAGATCAATAGTTTATCATCATTCCAGAGTTTTCTTATTTTTAAAAAGCTAGTGAATCAAAAGCAGAGATAATGACAATAGCTAAGATTTATTAAGAGCTTATAATTTACCAGGTACTATTCTAAGTACTTTCTTTTGTACAACTACCTTAAGAGGTCAATACCATCCTTATTTTATAGATAAAGAAACTGGAGCAAAGAGGGGTTGAAGGTTACATAGCACTGTGACTCTAGAGATAGGACTGTTATTCACAATGCCAGACAAGTTCTTAGAAGGGGACATATTTATGCCTCTTAAGAGCATGGATAATATTGCTACAAAAGATACTGCTATGAAAGTTTGTACCTACATTTTGCTGACAAGCTGACCCATTATAAGAATAAAGATGTAAATTAAAGAGCAAAACATGTCTGCCTAAAAGTACACAGAATTTCCTGAAAGACATCTTTGAATGACATTCAAAAAAATTTTTCTGGATGTGAGGGCAATCTGGCTGCAATATCTTTCGCCCCATTGATTGGCAGGGTTGATTTGGCTGATCTGGCTGGCTAGGCAGATGTCCCCTTCTTCCCTCACCACTCCATGTGCATCCCTACCAAAGCTGTGCACTCGGTCAAAGAGGACGACCATCCCCGAGAGAGAAGGACTGGTCTTCAGTCAAGGGTATATGAGTAGCTATGTCCCCTTCTAGAACCTCCAAATAAGCTCTCAAGGTCAATTTGTAGCAGAACGTAGGGTAGTCAAGCTTCCAAGACTCCAGACACATCCAAATGAGGTGCTGCATGTGGCAGTCTGCCTTTTTAAAAAAAAAATTCCTTACTTTTTCTTGCTATTTTTAACCTTTACTTTGAGAATATGCACCTGATTTTTGTATTAATTAAAATAAAAAGATGAAAGAAAAAGGTTATGTTTTTAGAACACTGGATGGTATATATTGACCTACTGTTATTTCTCCATGGTTTTACTTAAATCACACCTTGTATACATAGAAAATGTTGCATTAATCCTCTTATAAGTGAGCTTAGATTTTTTGATAGTAAAAAGCAAATGACTTTTTCATAAAACCCTCTGACTTGGGTGTTTTGATGTGCATAATGAAGTTTATGAAGCTCTTTAAATATATTCACTGTAAAGCCCTTGTTGAGATTATGAAACTTGTTTTTAAGAAATGATTATTTTAATGATAGTCTTTATTACAGAAGTTCTTTTTCTTATTGTTACTCTAGTATTTTCCTTCACTTTCACGGTAGTGTTAACATTCACCATATAATTCATCATTATGAATAGAGAGAGCAACGGATAAAACAAGAGTGTTTTGTTTCTGGATGAATCCCAGGAAAATTTTAAGTCCCTTATTCAATTATGCATGGTACCACATTATGAATATGGTGAATGATACGGTGAATGTTAACACCACCATGAAAGTGAAGGAAAATACTAGAGTAACAATAGTCAGAAGTCTCTTCTGATTTATAAAACTGTAAGAGAATAAATTTATGTTGCTTTAAGTCATCAAGTTTATGGTTACAGCAATCATAGGGAATGAATTATAAGAGTCTTACTATAATAAGCCAGTAAAGAAATTTTAAAATACAGTTCAAGGAAAAAGTTCTTATTTGACAAGGCAGTTTTAAGGAGAAAAGAAAGCTGAAGTGCAAAGTGAGGATGGAGTAGAAAGGTAAGAAAAGAGTAGCAAAGGAGAAGGGAGTAGCTAGGTGAGGCTGTGAAGTTTGATATCTGTCGAAGACTGGCCAGAATAATGAACTGGAAATGGTTTAAGCTTACTTCTGCTTTGGTTGCATAGCAAACAACTATGTAAATTATGTCCACCAGAAAAGTACACCAGTGAATGTGTGCAGTTACCTGATGACCCTCTTGTTCCTCAAGGAGCTGTCACCTAGGTTCTGTGATCAAATATTGCCTTTTAAGTAATTAGTCTGAGGGTGGGGACATGGTCTATCAGTGGTCCACGTACAACCAGTGAAGTTCTTCCTACCTGTGCCATAGTCGCATATGACTATGTTCTATTTTTTGTTGTGTTTTGGGTCTATAGCAGGCCTGGACATAACCTACCACATGAGCTTTCCAAATGCTGAAAGATAATATCTCATACAAATTCCATTTCACATTCTATTTTTTTCAGTAATTGAGTTTATATTATAGTGGTAGCATTTTCTTCTTTATTCCTCCAGTAAGAAGCGGAGGTTCTACTCAATTTTGAACTTGTCTGGTATATATATATTGCACAGACTCTTTTTTTTGTCTCAGCAAAAATGATGTAAGATAGAAAACCCTCTGTTGCTAGGTTGAGAGGGAGAGGAAGAGAGAGTGACGGATAAAACAAGAATGTTTTTTTTGTGGATGAATCCCAGGAAAATTTTAAGCCCCTTCTTCTGTTATGCATGGTACCAAAACAACATGGCCCTGTCATAGTGAGAGGTTAGACCTAGATGAGGAAGGTGTCCAAGCCTCAAGGTTGAAGGCCATTTAAGTGTGATACTGAGAAAGCAGCCTAACATTATCAGCCTAACATTATCAGGCTTCCTATGGGAATAAGATAATCTATGGTACCCTGTGGTTAGGACAAGGAGGACAGAGTGTGGGGCCCAAAGATGCAGAGAAAATATTTAAATAGTCATATTTCAGCAGATAACAGTGCAGGAGACATAGGGAATCATGTGAAATGAGGGATGTTTCCAAGGAGGTGATAAAGATCTAAAAAACAAGGACAGGAGTACATCAGATGCCCCTTGTACTGGTGCCAGGATGATAAGTAAGCGCCTCAAGAATGTAGATTATGCAGAAAAGGGAGAATCTAAATAAGCAGTCCCTGAGATGATACCTCCCAAAGACTAATCTGAAACAGCATGAGTTAATCTTACAGAAAAAACTGGGGCCTCAAAACTGGATGAGGTTAGTTCTAAAAATAAAGCAATTTACATTAAAACATTTTTTGGGACAAAAATTTTGACTCTCACAATCCCTTAACTTACATTCTTAAGTACTTCTTAATTATCTCAAAGAATGGTGATCATTGACTTCATACTTGTCAAGCCTAGTGACTCTTCTGTAGTCTTTATTCTACAATTTCTGTGCTGGTTTTAGAACCATCTTCCCTCAGATTCCTCCTCACCCATATCCTTCTCTGGGTTGTACTGTTGGGGTCTGTTTCCTGGTCTTCCATACGGCTTGCTTATAGGTGAGACAATGGGAGACCTGCTGAAAACTGTCAGGGGATTTTTCTGCCAACTTTAATATCTGAATCATACCTAGGTCTGCTTTGATTTTTTAAATTCTTTTGACTTTTAAGACACATTTTACTGCCTTTTCAAATGTCCATAAATTGTGATTGTTGCATTATATTACAATGGGTGGTTCACTCATCTTCTCTATCCCCAACCTCAAGCATAAGTAAGTTTCCTAATGATTACAGCACCTGGCTCATAGAGAATAGACATTAAAAGTTTATTGGCTAAATGAATAGCTATAGGTATGGGGTGAGGTAACAGAGAGAGCCTCCTCCTGAAGGATTGATCAGAATCAATGTTTGCCATAATTGCGATATCCTACTGAGAATCACTTTCTGTAAGTGTAATTCATGGAAATATGCCTTATCCTCAGGAATACTCATGTAGAGAAAAGGTGAGAAGCTTTGCTTTATAGAGAAGAGAGTTTTCCATACAGGCCTGCCTTTTGACTTATTGGAAAGGGAGAGGACTGGACTGAAAATGAACGTAGATCCAAAAATGGTACAAATATGGAGATAATGCTTTTCAAACTTTTCCTTCTAATTACTCATCAGGGCAGAGGAAGGTAAATATGCACATCTGGATCTGAGTTGGAGGTAATGATGATGTGGACCAAGAAACCAATCTGCCATAGGCTAAGAGTCTATCTTGAACATTAATTTAGATGTCAATTCTTAAGTTAATATTCAAGATAGACTCTCAGCCTATGACAGATTGCCTTCTTGCTCCATATGGACACACGGAGGGGAACAATAACATACTGGGGATTTTCAGAGGGTAGAGGGTGGGAGGAGGGAGAGGATCAGGACAAATAACTAATGGGTACTAGGCTTACTACCTGGCTGATGAAATAATCTGTACAACAAACCCCCATGACACAAGTTTACCTATGTAACTAACCTGCAGTTGTACCCCTGAACTTGAAATAAAAGTTAAAAAAATGTCAATTCTACTCCTACTTGTGTGTTTGAATATGAAAGTCTTCTCTTACTTTTTTTTTTTTTTTTTTTTTTTGAGACAAAGTCTCGCTCTGATGCCCAGGCTGGAGTAAAGTGGCACAATCTCGGCTCACTACAAACTCTGCCTCCTGGGTTCATGCCATTCTCCTGCCTCAGCCTCCCCAGTAGTTGGGACTACAGGTGCCTGCCACCTTGCCCGGCTAATTTTTTGTATTTTTAGTGGAGACAGGGTTTCACCGTGTTAGCCAGGATGGTCTCAATCTCCTGACCTCGTGATCAGCCCGCCTCAGCCTCCCAAAGTGCTGGGATTACAGGCATAAGCCACTGCACCGGGCTCTCTTACTTTCAATAGAGTTGATATTCTAAGTGTGTGGCATGACTTTTACTCTGAGACATTGTCTATCACTGGCTCAGGCTTCTTCAGCAGGAGCTTCATATTTTCCATGCTTCTACCTTGAGAAGTACGGCACAAAGGAAAAGATACATCACTTGCTGGTCGCAGACCTCATTCCAAGAGAACATTTTGACAGAGGAGGAGAGCTGGAGGTGGTCAGGTGCTTGCAGTGCGGGGCAGGAGAGGAGTTTGGGATGTGGATGGGAGAGGCCACTGAAAACTTAGAGTGGGTTTTCCTTTGGATTTTTACTTTGGTTAATTCTGGTATTTAAAAATTTTGGGCAGCAATGATTTTGATTAATAGTAACCACATCTTTTCCCTTCAATCATTTAAAATGGCTCCATTTTCCTGTTATAAAATGGCCAGTAAGAGAAAATCTGATCTTTGTGGATAACCTGTGTGTCCTGCCCTAAACTAAAACGCTTAAATATTGTTACTGTGGTCTCAGAAGACAAAATGTCCCAGATCTATTTATTTTTAGTAAGCGCACCTTACTAAAGCACACTTCACCTTTGCTCTTACCAGGTATGTACAATCCCATTTAGGAGATCAGTGCTGAGCTGGGGGAAATAGAAGCCCTGAACACTCTGAAATCTTATATGCAAATTATATCACAGTTGCATTATTTGCTAAAGTTCATTTTGAGGCACTCTGGGATGTGATTAATTTTAAGGGTAATGCAGGATGTTGTCTACTGAATTCAGAAGCCCTGAGGGATAAATACATTTGCCTATTTTCTTATTACTAAGGGGATGGTTAATAGAAAATGGAAGCAGAATACTTACAGTAGAACATTATAGTATCTAATTTTTACAGGAGGCATAAACTATGCTGGGAGCTACGCTATAGGATAAATGAGCCTATTGCAGCACAGATCAGGCTAATAAAATAAATGTATGTAAAAATATGTTTATTTGCTCTCTTCTATGCATCACAAGAATGCCTCGTGCCTCTTGGAGAAGAGTCCATCATCCACCTGTGTACTATCTATCTGTCTATCTATCTATCTATCTATCTATCTATCTATCTATCTATCGATCTATCTATCCATCTCTCTATTTATCTATCTACCTATTTATCTATCTTTCAAACTCTTCCAGATCTCCTTAGCCATAATTTACCACCTCCTTATTTAAACTTATATTCCATAACATCTACAACAATCATTTGACAATTCATCTTGTAATGCACTACTTTAAAATTGATATTTAGATTCTGTGTGGCATAGCTAATATATTTTCTTCCTAACTGGACTATAAGCCTTCAGGGAACAGGGACTATGATTTTCTTTATGTGTTGCACAAATATCCTAATGTAGATATGAATGAATATTTTATGGAGTTGTTTCAGTTATATTTTTTTCAGTTATATTGTTTTCAGTTATATATGTTTCAGTTATATATGTTTTAAATGTGTTTCAGGCACATTTAAAACAATAATAATAGAAAATGGAATTTCAAAAATATTTAGCATTTCCTCAAGGAGCCAGGTATATGTAGTCAGATTATTTTCCTCTTCATGAGTAACTACTCATGCCAATTTATTTCATGAATATTATTGAGAATTTTATTTTTAGGGCACTGTTATGCATGGTGGAAGGGAATGTGGATGTGTCCTGAATGTAATGAAGAAAGGATATACATAAACATCTAACTATTGAGAAGTCTTACTTCTCAATGTGTGTTCTGTGGACCAGCAGCCTTGGCAACACAGGGATCTTGTTAGAGAAATGCAGAATCTCAGCCACCAATGAGACCTACTGAATCAGATTTGCATTTTAGCAAGATCTCAGGAAATTTGCATGCTCATGCAAGTCTGAGAAGCACTGGACTACAAAACACCTTCCAAAATCACTGTTCTTTCCCTGCTTCTAAACTGGCTTCATATATGGTGTTCATCAGATAGTTCCACAGGAGGACAATGGAATGGGGCAAGGAACTAATGTCTATTGGCCACCTACCTTCAAATACAGACAGACCTAGAGTTATCCTTCCTCCCTCTTTTCCCACTTCCAGATTCTCTGTTATTGTTAAGCTCATGGTAACAGGAGTTACAGACTTATAAATTTCTACATCATCGTAATTGCTGTTTAGCTATATGGTCTAGCAGTGATGACTTTCAGGGAAATATCACTTACGTGACTTTTGTTGGTTGTATTCCCATCTAATACTACACTCCTGGATAGAACCATGCGTTACAACTTGGGGCAGCATGCAGGAGTGATTGAGATGAAGTGCTAGAGTGGCACCTCTATCTGTTTGTAATGCTGGGTGTATTTTACACGCTAATGAATGACCTTACTGACTGCTAACGCATGCCAGAAAGCATTAATTTGATCCAGTTTTTACTGAGCACTGACGGATCCTGTCAGAAATAGGACTAGAAGATGAGATTAGACATTCCCTTAACTAGGTTTTAGAAAAGGACAGTATCTTTAGTTCCGTAAAATGAGTTGACATGTGGCATTAAATTCATTGCTGTTATCTGTCATAGGCTTTTCTGGGAAGAATAATGAAGGCTAAACTGTATTAGAAATCTGGCTCAATCTTAATATTGCAAATCTGTTGGTAGGCCAGAAACAATGTAATTTTATCAGAAGGACTTTGGTTTGTAGAATTGTAATTGATGGAAGAGATAGCTTATACCATCAAAATTTTTCTTTGGGTTTTGAAAAATTTCACAAAAATCCAATAATTTAATATACAAAAATGAATTATGGTTCACAATATAAAAGAGACTAAAGAATAAATGAGGCAATGTCTCATTAAGCATGGTGGATAGCATACATGCACTCACTGCCACCTCCACTAAAAGCTTCCTAAAATGACAATACAGAGGTTTTTTTTTTAAAAAAAGTCATAAGCTCCATGAACAGAAAAACCAGGACAGGGGAAAAAAACACATAATTTGGAAGGAGAAAAGCAGCTTGTTCTGGTTATGTATTGCTATGTATTTGACTATCCCAAAAGTTAATGGATTAAAACAACGATTTTATTATACCTTACAATTTTTGTGGTCAAATCTTTGGGCAAGTCTCAGCTGGGTGATTCTCTCATTCCATATGCATTGACTGTGGTCACTCAGTGGTATTCGTCTGGCAACTGAGCTAGTCTGGAGTCTCCACGATGGCCTTACTCACACACCTTGGCAGGAACAGCTGGAAGTCTGTGCCCAGCTGGATCTCCTTTCCTCTCCATAAACTCTCAGTCAGGGCTTCACCTGCAGGGTGGCTGGACTACATACCCGGCAACTCAGAGCTCCTAGAATGAGCGTTCAGTCTGTTAAGGCCTGGGTCTAACAGTTGGCACAGCTCTCATTCTGTCATATTTTATTAGGCATGTGCTAATCTCAATAGAACAGATGGGGTCAAAAATTTAGGGCCATCCTTAATCTATCACCCAGATGAATAGTAACATACTTAGAAGACCAGAGGAATCTGAAACCCCAGTCAGGAATAAGAGACGTGCAAAGGTCAGCTGAGTCCTGCCACAGAATTCTAGAAAGGCTTAGGAATTTCATGTCCTTCTGGAAAGAGGGAGAGGGGTCCAGGTAGGGCTTAAAACGTACGGGCTAGTTGAAAGTCTGTATAAAAACAGTCAGATCCTCTGATACCCTCCCAAAGCTTGCTGATCCTCTTGTCCATGCAGATAGGAGATCAGAGGCTTAATTTTTGGAGACATTGAACCACATAACTGAAAGCAGAGAACTACACAGAAAATAAATATATTAAGTAAAACTCTATATTGTTCCATGAAATGTCCTTTCCCACATTCACTACATTACCTCTGATGATACTGGCAGACTCTCAGATAAGGGCTGGAGGCTTCTTCTCTGGTGAAATTTAACAGTCCAAGAGAAAGCGTCTACAGATTTTGAGAGCTGTGGGGCCCGGGGAAATGCCACCATCAAATCCATCTTCAGTGAAGCAGTCAACATGTCCCATCTAAGCATAGAGCACCTATCTACTCAGCCTTGTAGTGTCTCCTTCTTTTTTTTTTTTTTTGAGACAGAGTTTCGCTCTTGTCTCCCAGGCTGGAGTGCAATGGCACAATCTTGGCTCACTGCAACCCCTGCCTCCTGGGTTGAAACAATTCTCCTGCCTCAGCCTCCCGAGTAGCTGGGATTACAGGCGCCTGCCACCATGCCCAGCTAATTTTTGTATTTTTAATAGAGACGGGGTTTCATCAGTGTCTCACTCTTAAAGTGAGCAGATAATCAAGGATCAACAGATATTTGAGGAAGTGTTTTAACATGCCAAACCAAACAAGTAGAAATTAATTTTTTTCCATTTGTCCTGAAAATACTTGTTGGCAGTGCTTGTGGCAGCAGCATTTACCCCGAGATAACTTTGCTATGAAAGATTTCACTTTTATTATTATTTTTGCATCACTTTAGTATATCAACCTCGGAAACCAAAGACATCATTTTGTTTATAGCATTCTGTTTTTTAGTGGTGGTATTTCCATTGACTAAATAGAGTAATTCTCAATTGCTGAAAATGTCAAATCCTAGAAAATGTAACATTCCTACATGTGATGTTAACATTATTCTTGAATAGTTGTTGGCCACAGATTCATTTAATGAGTCTGATTTTTCTGAAATAGACAATCCTGATGATTATGATGTTCTAATGTTAGTTCTGTTCAGAAATAACTTCAGGAAGAACAGTTTTTATATATTATTTTCACAGGAAAATCAGTCACATTTGATTCAGGCTCAAAGAGTATGTTTATGTAAAATTAAATGAGCACTGGCAGTGAGCTGCACTTTTTTTTTCCTAAATGGGAAAAAGGTTAAGAACACTGGGCAAATAAAAAAATGTGAAGAACAAGGTAAAATTAGAAAATTACAAGAGGTGGGGTGGAGCAAGACAGGTGAATAGAAGCCTCCACTAGTCAATCCCTCCTGCAGGAACACCAAATTTAACAAATATCTACACAAAAAAATCACCTTCACAGGAACCAAAAATCAGGCAAGCACTCACAGTACCTCGCTTTTACTTCATATCACGGAACAAGGCACTGAAGCGGGTAGGAGAGTCAGTCTTGAATTGCCGACACCACACCTCTGCCATCCCCCTACAGTGGCCTTGTGGCATGGAAAGAGAATCTGTGCACTTGAGGGAGGAAAAGTGTAGTGACTACGGGACTTTGCATTGAACTCAGTGCTTCTCTGTCACAGTGGAAAGCAAAACCC
This sequence comes from Homo sapiens, assembly GCF_000001405.40. NCBI lineage: Eukaryota > Metazoa > Chordata > Mammalia > Primates > Hominidae > Homo > Homo sapiens. Next base: position 85,109,820 of record NC_000004.12, read on the forward strand.
GGCTGAACTCAGCTGACACCAATGCAGAAAGCATTTAGGACAACCCTAGCCAGAAAGGAATCACCCATTGCAAGGGTCAGAACTTGACTTTTGGCAAGTCTCGCCACCACAGGCGAAAGTCCTCTGAGATCCTAAATAAACTTGAATGGCAGTCTAGGCTACAAGGACTGAAACTACTAGGTAAGTCCTAGTGCTATGCTAGGCTCAGAATCAGCAGACTTAGGGGGAATGCAACCTAGTGAGATACTAGTCAGAGCAGCTAAGGGAGTGCTTATGCCACCCTTCTCCTAACCCCAGGTAGCACAGCTCATAGCAAGGAAAGTGAGTCTGTCCTTCTGATTGAGGAGAGGCGAGTGAAGAGTAAAGAGGACTTTGTCTTGCAACTTGGATACCAGTTCAGCCACAGTAAGACAGAGCACTGGGCAGAGTTATGAGGTCCCCATTCCAGGTCCTAACTCCAGGATGATATTTCTAGACACACCCTGGGCTCGAAGTGAACCTGCTGCCTTGAAGGGAGAGACCCAATCCTGGCAGAATTCATCACTTGCTGACTAAAGAGCCCCTGGACCCGGAATTATCAGCAGTGATACCCAGATAGTATTCCATGGGCCTTGAGTGAGACTCTGAGACATGCTGGCTTTAGGTGTGATCCAGCACATTCCCAGTGGTGGTGCTACAGTGGGAGACTCCTTCTGCTTGAGAAAAGCAGAGCGAAAAATAAAGGGGTCTTCATTTTGCAGCTTAGGTACTAGTTTGGCCACAGTGGGGTAGAGCACCAAATAGGCTCTTGGGGTACCCATTTCCAGGCATAGGTTCTTGGATTGCATTTTGGCCTGCCCTGGGTCAGAGGGGAGTTCACTCCCCTGAAGGGTGAGCCCTAGGCCTGACAGCATTCACCACAAGCTAACAGAAGAAGCCTTGGGCTTTAAGTGCACATTGGCAGTAGCCTGGCAATACTCTCTGTGAGCCTGTTGTGGTGGTGGCCATGGTGAGAGGCTCCTCTGCCTGTGCAAAGAAAAGTGAATAGCGAAAAGGGCTTTGTCTCATGGTTTGAGTGCCAGCTCAGGTGCAGTAGAGAAGGAATTCAGAATCTTATCAGATACATTTAACAAAGAAATTGAAATAATTAAAAAGAATCAAGCACCAGGTAGATTTCTAAGGTTTTCGACTCCAGTCCCTGGCTCCCGGATGGCATCTCTGGACCTGCCCAGGGCCTGGGGGAACTCACTGCACAAGAGACGTGGCTGGATTTGCCACCTGCTGTTGTGGAGTCCCAGGGCCTTCAGTTAACATAGGCGGTAACCAGGCAGTGGCTATAGCAGGCCTTGGGTGAGACTCAGTGCTGTACTGACTTCAGGTCTGATCCAGCACGGTCCCAGTGATGGTGGCCACAGTGGTGCTTGTGTCACCCTTCACCTCCAGGCAGCTCAGCACAGACAGGGAGACTCCATTTGTGTGACAGAAAGTAAGGGAAAAGAACAACAGTCCTTGCCTGGTAAATCAGTGAATTCTGGATCTTATCCAAGACGACCAAGGCAGTACATCTACGAGTCTGTAAGAATCACAGCATAACTAGTCTTGAGGTGCTTCCTAATGCAATATGTCTTACATCACAACACCCAAGTCCTTTTGAATACCTGGAAAGCCTTCCCAAGAAGGACAGGTACAAACAAGCCCAGAGTGTGAAGACTACAATAAATACCTAATTCTTCAATGACTAGACACCAATCAACATCTACAAGCATCAGGACCATCCAGAAAAACTTGACCTTACCAAATGAACTAAATAAGGCACAAGGGAGCAATCCCAGAGAGAAAGAGATATGTGATCTTTCAGAGAGAGAAATCAAAATAGTTGTTTTGAGAAAACTCAAATAAATTTAAGATAACATAGAGAAGGAATTCAGAATCTTATCAGATAAATTTAACAAAGAAATTGAAATAATTAAAAAGAATCAAGCAGAAATTCTGGAGTTGAAAATGTAACTGGCATATTGAAGAATGCATCAGAGTCTCTTAGTAGCAAAACTGATCAAGCAGAAGAAAGAAAATTATAATTAATATACTCAAACAGTTGGGGAAAATATATAAATAAAACAACAAAGGATGCTCTAATAAAGGAAAATTGAGTAAACAAGCTAGAATTCTTGGAAATGAAAACTATAGAATCAGAAATCAAAAAGTCAATAAAAATTTTAAAAGACAAATTTGAGAAAATTGTATGAGTAAAACAACCAAAGAGATGAACAATAGTACAGAAGTTATAAGAAAGAAAGTTCAGGAGGTTTCCCATCTAGATAATATGGTACACACACAGAGAGAACAGAGAAAACAGAAAGGGAATAAGCAATTGGAGGGAAAAATCATGAAAATAACTCAGCCCTGAAGGATATGAATTATCAGATTGACAGGGACCACAAAACAAAAAGGATAAGAAAAGCATGCATGTTATGACACATAATCATGAACTCTTAGGATACCAACGACAAAGAGAAACTCCCCAAAGCTTCCAAGAAGAAAGAGAACTGACTAGGATTAAAAATTGCACACATTCACTCATGAACAACGCTGGATGCTAGACGATAATAAAATGGCATGTTCAAAATTCTGATTGAAATGATTTTCAATCTGAAATTTTAAGCTCAGCTGAGCTGTCAATCAAGTGGGTAGAAAAAGACGCAATGCTTTTAGCTAGTTGAAATGCGATAAAATGTATTCAGGATCCCCCCTCCCCCCGCAAATTGTGAATGATCATTTCTCTTTATTATGCATTCTATTTTCATTAGACTGTATGGTGTTCAAGGGATGCAACTTTAATTTTTAATTGTCCTACATACCATCTGCAAAAAGTAGGCATTAATGAATAGTGTTTATGAATAAATGAACTTTGCTCTACTTTAAATCATGATTATTTGAAGTACTGCATATAATAGTGTTGCTTTGACATATGAAAGCAACTTATTTCTTTATTTGCCATTTATTGATACTATATTTATTATTTACTCACAGATTTTTTTTTTTCTCCATGATCTGGGTCCATTTAGAGGTAAAGATCTTTCATCTTGTTATTCTGTTATTTGATCCAACAGTCTAAAGGATTTTGTTGCTTGAATATTTAGGAAGAAGAGTAGAATATGTTGCTCACATTTATTATAACAAAATATTTCCAGAGCCATTTATGATTATGTTGACCTGATAACACCAACTGCCAATAAATTAAAGACACAATTTGAATTTTCCCCTGTTGTAATTACTCTCCAGACCACTAATCAGATGCTTAATTACTTCCAGCATTACTGTTGGTAATAAAATCTTTACTGCCACCAGTGAATAGGAGCAGTAATGAATAAGGGAACAAGCTGATTGATTGACACTGTGGAGGGTGGCTCTGGATCTTATGAAGAATGGCTCAAGGAGAACTCAGGGATTGTTGTGACAATCTGGAAATCAGAAAATACTTTGATTTGAAATTGTCAAGAACAGTAGAGATCAAGTGAAAGTCAGCTTGGATGAGGTGTAGAAATATTTCGTACTTGAAAGAGAATGCAGACATCGGAATAATAGGAAGCAAAACTGACCTCAGGAACTAAGCAGAAATAGTCAGAATCAAAGGATATAGGAAGTCATTACCTTACCAATGCACACCTATTTGTTTTTATTCTACATATATGTAACAGTAACTGTGTAATTTCTTCTGCTCACAGCAAAACTTTATTTATTTTTGCTTTCAGGAAGACTGACTTGGGAAGTGTTGAGATATTTGACTTTCTATTGAGATAACTTAGAGGATGTACAAAGAATATCATACCACCAGCAATAGTTCCAAAGGCAGTTACAAGGCTGATGGCTACAACTTTGTGTAGAACTGTGTGTCTACCCATGGGCTAATTATCAAAAAATGTTGTGGTGTGCTGGGAGCTGTCCAAGTGCAAAGATGGGGACATACTGGGCCATGAAGAATGGATGCCTTTGTGGTTAGAGATGCCAGTGATACCTTCCGTACGCATACTCTTAGGGATTCTGGCTCTTTCTAATCCCTGGGATGGATAGCTCTATGTATAACATGCCTTCATCCTTCCTGCCATGACTGATTGATTGGACCATGGATAGATTTCTGACCCATGCTATGCCTGGAATTCGGAGTTGAGATACTGAGAGTTTGATTCAGATAAACAGTGGTAGACACCAAACCCATGAGTTCATGCAAACTTAGAAATTGTTTTCTTTTTGGCCACACACAGTCATGGAGAGAAATGGAGCAGAGGAAGAAAGACTAAGCTAATGCTTATGTGACTGCTGTGTGATGGAGACTGTGATAGTGACTGGCTTTTCAATCCAATTCTTATTTACAGGAGGCCTGACTTTATTTAGATACTTTGAAAATATAAACTTAAAATACACTTCACTACCACAGCTTGAAGGGGATTCTGTTCTTAACAACAGTCAATCCACTTTCATTAATCTATTCAGTTTTTCTAACCCAGCAATGAAGTTGACCAGTTAAGATAATATGTCATTATCGAATGCCTTCCATCTATTATAATCACAGTTTTATAGTTACTTGGATTTTATCCCTCTCCTTTCGAAGACTGTGAACTCTGATTTTTTTAAACAAGAACTTTATCCCAATTTGTTTCACATAGTGGGTGGCCAGTTGCTTGCTGAAATTGAGTATTGATTGAGCTGCAGTAAATTTGGCTGATGAGAGACATGTTTGGCTTAATGCCCCAAGAAAACAATATTTCTAGTACTATTCACATATATTCTCAAAAATTTCCCTTTAAATTTCTTACATGAAAAATTAGGTATGGATGTTACAGTGTGTGCATCCTTTGACTCAACCTATTAGCTGTATTAAGGATGTTGGGTTCTTTGCAACACGTGGAAGAATTGGCTCAGGGTCAACAGCCTACCTCTCAACTCCATGAGTAAGGAGATGAGCCCGGCAGCCTCTGGCAGGAAGCCTTTGGTCATTCTGATTCTAAAATAATCATTCTGATTATAAATGATGTGTAGGGCGAATGGTGAGCTCCTCTAGCTTTAAGAACATTTGAGTGAGCATGTATCACTATAAATTTAATTATTTGGCAATTGTTGAGTAAAATTATCTTTAGAAAATAAACTGTCTTTAGAGCTAATTTTCACATTTCCAAATTAAAAAAAAATTGCCTAGATAGTAATACAAGCTTAATATTCAATTCATTAAGCTGCCTGTTTATTGACTTTCCCAAGAGACTTCTTGCTTGAGTTTCCTGTAATATGTTATAACATTACCATAATAGGGCTTTATTACTTCTTATTTTCCACATGCATTGCTCTGATAATTGGAAAAGGTAAGGAAATTCAACTATTGAAATGAGTGACCTTTACATTTGGAAAACTAATTTGTTCAGGTCTCATAAGAGGTCTTATTATGTCACTTAAAACACATGGAATTAAGAGTCAATTTAATTTTTTGTTATAGGAAATTATTTCCTTAATCAAAATATTCATATCATTTCTCTTGTTTCCCATTCTTCATGTCACCAATTTTTTTTGCCACCACCTCACAAATTTAGTAAGTTTTTAATATTTATTTTTGCATCTTGACAATTTAAAGATTTTTAGATATGAGCAGTAATCAATGTCCAGGAAATTAACAGCAAATAGGTCATAACAGATATAGGCTGGGGACAGTGTATGATTTAGTAATCTTCCAGCCTAGGTTCATCCCAGACTTAGCAATGGAGAAGAGCAGCTTTGTGCTTTATGAAGTCTTGTTCTTTCCTCCTTCTCCTCTTCCTTAAAATGCAAATTACATCCACTTGTGCATTTAGAAAGCAATAGTGCCCATGACAGTTTTTCCCAAATATTTTATTTCTTCTATTTCAGCCTCCTAGGCCCGACCTTATTACCTTGTTGAGTTTTCAGCATAGCCCTTAGTCCTTTTGATGAGTAAAAAGCATTTATACACAAGAGGACAGCCAGTATAGTGGAAGACATTACTCAGCCTCTCCAGGTGTGGGCAGTTCTTGAACCACTGAGTGCTCTCTTCCCATGGACATAGATTGAGGGCTCCAAGAATCCCAGGATAAATTCCAACAAGCTTTATATCTCTGTTTACCTTACATTTTACAATGAAAAGCACCAGCCCTTTCAAACTATTCATCATTTCAAAGACAGTTCTCTTATTCCTTAGGATATACCCTGATCTGATCTTATCTCCTGCCTCTCTCTGTCCCCCCAGGCTCTCCCACTCTGCCCTTGGGAACCCATGGGTTGTCATTAGCAAACTGCTCACATCTTCAACCTCTTGTCTGATTGTTCCCATCATATTCTGTTCAAGCAACACTAGCTTTTATTGACACCACTTTCTCTAGAAGCAGCTGTGTTTTCTCTCATACTCCATGTGAACCTCAAGGCCTGGAGGTGAATGGATGGCCTTGAATCCTTGTTTGCTGCCTTCAAGCCTTCCTCTCCTTCTTTTAAACTGCTAGTTCTTTTGTAGCTCATGACATTAGATTTTACTATTACTCTGCCTTGTGGTGTCATGTACTCCTTCTGGTTGCTTCTTCTCACTCCTAGATGACAATGAAAATGCTTCCTTTCTTTCTTTCACTCATTCTGTTGCTATGCTAAATTCTTAGTTGCCTGACTTTCTTAGCCCCAAGAATCTCTTTCTTCTCTCCATCTTGCCATGGCTTCCTGACTCCCATATATGGTTATATCCAGACATGGTGTTACTCATAATAATGGCACCATTTCCAGCCATTGTCTTCTCTGACTTCACCTCCTGGCTAGCTAACTCCTAACTCTAGTACTCTCACTTTAGTTATTCTTCTTCTTAAACACTTGTCTACTGACCCCACCACGTTTTTGCTATTCACAACCCCTCACTCTCCTTTTCACCCAAGTTAGATTCGATGAATTGGCATGATAACCATCCCATTGCTAACATCCTTAATTCTCTTGACCTCCCATCCTACTCTATTGTATGCAGCTGACCAAACTTTAGCTGTGCCTAATTAAGGCCAATGGTCTGTGTACTTTGGCTCTTGATATGGTTTGCCTGTGTCCCCACCCAAAGCTCATCTTTTAATTGTAACTACCATAATTTACACATGTCATGGGAGGAACCCAGTGGGAGGTAATTAAATTATGGGGGTGGGTCTTTCCCACTCTGTTCTCGTGATAGTAAGTTTCATGAGATCTGTTGGTTTTAAAAATGGCAAGCTCTCTCATTCTCTCCTTTGTCACCACCATGTAAGAAGTGCCTTTCGCCTTCCACCAGCATTGTGAAGCCTTTCTAGCTGTGTGGAACTGTGAGTCCATTAAACATCTTTCTTTTGTAAATTGCCCAGTCTCAGGTATGTCTTTATCAGCAGCATAAAAACAGAGTAATGCAGTAAACTGGTACCAGGAGAGTGGGATATTGCTGAAGAGGTATGCAAAAATGTGGAAGTGACTTTGGAAGTGGGTAACAGGCAGAGGTTGGAACAGTTTGGAGGACTCAGAAGAAGACAGGAAAATGTGGGACAACTAGTCCTAGAGACTAGTTGAATGGCTTTGACAAAAATGCTGATAGTTATATGAACAATAAGGTCCAGGCTGAGGTGGTTTCAGATGGAGATGAGGAACTTGTTGGGAACTGGAGCAAAGGTGACTCTTGTTATGTTTTAGCAAAGAGACTGGTGGCATTTTGCCCCTGCCCTAGAGATTTGTGGACTTTGAATGTGAGACAGATGATTTAGGGTATCTGGCAGAAGAAATTTCTAAGCAGCAAAGTATTCAAGAGGTGACTTTGGGCCCTATTAAAAGCATTCAGTTTTAAAAGGGAAACAGAGCATAAAAGTTTGGAAAATTTGCAGCCTGACAATGTGATAGAAAAGAAAATCTCATTTTCTGAGGAGAAATTCAAGCCAGGTGCAGAAATTTGCATAAGTAACAAGCTGAATGTTATTCCCCAAGACATTTGGGAAAATGTCTCCAGGGTATGTCAGAGGTTTTCAGGGCAGCCCCTCCCATCACAGGCCTGGAGCTTTAGAAGGAAAAAATTGTTTTGTGTGTTGGGCCCAGGGTCCCTATGCTGTGTGCACCCTAAGGACTTGGTGCCCTTTGTCCCAGATGCTCCAACTGTGACTAAAAAAGGCCAAGGTACAGCTCAGGCTGTTGCTTCAGAGGGTGGAAGCCCCAAGTCTTGGCAGCTTCCATGTGGTGTTGAGCCTGTGCGTTCACAGAAGTCAAGAATTGAGGTTTGGGAATCTCTGCCTAGATTTCAGAGGCTCTATGGAAACTCCTGGATGTCCAGGCAGAAGTTTGCTGCAGAAGTGAGGCTCTCATGGAGAACCTCTGCTAGGGCAGCGCAGAAGGGAAATGTAGGATGGGAGCCCCCCCACACAGAGTTCCTACTGGGGTACCACCTAGAGGAGCTGTAAGAAGCGGGCCACTGTCCTCCAGACCCCAGAATGGTAGGTCCACATACAGCTTGCACTGTGCACCTGGGAAAACCACAGACACTCAAAACCAGCCTGTGAAAGCAGCTGGGAGGGAGGGGGAGGCTATCCCCTGCAAAGCCTCAGGGGTGGAACTGCTCAAGACCATGGGAACTCACCACTTGTATTAGCATGACGTGGATGTGAGACATGGATTCAAAGGAAATCATTTAGAGCTTTAAGATTTGACTGCCCTGCTGGACTTCAGACTTGCATGGGGCCTGTGGCCCCTTCATTTTGGCCAATTTCCCCCATTTGGAATGGCTGTATTTACCCAATGCCTGTATCCCCATTGTATCTAGGAAGTAACTAACTTGCCTTTGATTTTACAGGCTCATAAGTGGAAGGGACTTGCCTTGTCTCAGGAGACTTTGGATTTTTGAGTTAATGCTGAAACGAGTTAAGACTTTGGGAGACTTTTGGGAAGGTATGATTGGTTTGGAAATATGAGGACATGAGATTTGGGAGGGGCTGGGGGTGGCATGATATGGTTTGCCTGTGTCCCCACCCAAATCTCATCTTGAATTGTAACTCCTATAATTTCCATATGTTGTGGGAGAAACCCAGTGGGAGGTAATTGAATTATGGGGGCGGGTCTTTCCTGTGCTGTTCTTGTGATAGTGAATAAGTCTCATGAGCTCTGATGGTATTAAAAACAAGAGTTTCTCTGCACAAGCTCTCTCATTCTCTCTCTTGCTGCCTCCATGTAAGAAGTACCTTTTGCCTTCCACCATGATTGTGAGGCCTTTCTAGCTGTGTGGAACTGTGGGTCCATTAAACGTCTTTCTTTTGTAAATTGCCCAGTCTTGGGTATGTCTTTATCAGCAGCAGGAAAATGGACTAATACAACCCTATACCAGAGTAGCTGGACATTGCTGGATGACAGTTAGACTACCATGCTGACTGGCCTTGCTTCAGATTTATGACCCCTGATCTCAAAATCACTGAGCACTTTCAGAAACTCCTATTTCAGTTTTCTAGTAAATTCACTGTCATCCTCTCTAGATGACTATTTCACACCTTCTCTTCTCCAATCTCAAACACTGATTATTCTGTTTTACTCTCAGTTGATGACTTGGTTTTCTACTTCAGAGAGAAAATGGATATAATCAACAAAAACATGCTACTTTCCTACCACCCGCCTATATCTTCAGTCACATATGCTCTTTTCTCCTGTATTTCTCTTTTTCTCAAATTTCTCCATTTCTCAAACCGTTCTTATGTTTGCCAGCTCTCTATTTTTGTTAACACATCTCTAACTGCTGGAGTGCCCAGAGTTTATTTTTCAACCCTCTAATCATCTATAGTTACATTTTCTTAAGATACCCTGCTTAGTCCCAAGGCTTTAAATGCCATCTATATGCTGATGGCTCCCAAATTTTTATTTATAATTTTGAACTTTGTCCTGAAAATCAGAATTGTATGTCTGATATCTTACACAGTATTTTTACTTGAGTGTCTCTAACCAAACATGGCTTCTCTTAATTTTCTGAAAAAAATCATCTCTCAATCTTTCCATTTATCAATACATGGTATTATCATCCACTCAGTTGCTGTTCAGGCTGAAAACATGGGAGTTATTCTTGAATCCTCTTTCTTTCACTGCTCACATTGAATCTACCAGACAGTCCAGTTGCCTGTGTTTCTAAATTATATTTTATATCTGACTATATCTCATCATTTCCAGTGCTGTAAACTAGACCAAATTGTCACTATATTTTACTCAGAGCACTTAGAAGTTCCTAAAATTATTGTAATTATTTTGCTTATGTTACTGTCTGCTTCCATACATTAGAATGTCAACTCACTGAAGGTAGGGACATTATCTTGTTCCCTCTTGTGTACCTAGCACCAATACTAGCACATACTAAGGGATCAATAAATATTTTTGCCTGACTGATATTTTAGTGGAACCTGTCTTTCAGAATAAGCATTGAACTATAGAAAACATCTAAAAATTTATATTTTTGAAATTCCAGCAATTAAATTATCTCAGTGGTTCAATTTTAGAAAGTTAATCAATCATGCTGGTACCTAGCTCTCAGCTATAAACTATTCATATAACATGACTCTAATGAGTCATTTAAAATATTTATATTTGTGTGCATATATATGTATACATTCATATATACACACATATATGTGTATGTGTGCATGTGTATATACATACACAAGCATACTAGTTTACAAAAATGTGGTCATATTATGCATGTGGTTTTGGGGATTTTTCTCCCTTCTTATTTCGTTTCCCTTCTATTTGTCCCTCACTCTTCACTACATAGTTCTCCTAATCCAAAGTAACAATTTGCTGTGTTTTCTTCTGCATGCTATTATAATTATAAAAACATATGCTACATATATTTATTCAAATATATAATTATATAGGGAGATTTTGTCATTGATTTCTTTACAAAAATTGTATTATTAAAAGGATACTTCTATTAATTTGTCTCTAAAAATTGCAGGCACCAATTCTTGCCATAGGGAAAAAAAAACCCAGTAAGAATGTATTAAAATATTGCTGTGACAGTTGTGTCACATGAATGAGAAGAGAGGGCTGAAGAATTATATCACTCTTTTTGAATAGGCTTTGGTAGGTAGTTTGACTAAGAACAACTCAAAGTTTAATAATGGGATTAGTATTGACATTCAGACTAATTTCAGGGAAATGGAGGTTTGTGAGATGCCATATATCTTGGTATGAGGGCCTCTGCCCTGTTGTAAGAGCAGTGGCTTGGGAGTAAAGTAGCCCAGGTTTTAATGCATATCCTACAGCTAACTTGCCTGCTAGTCTTTTGAAATTCATTTAATCTCTCTAAGGCAGCCTAAACTGTGGCTAGAAGGCTTGGGTTCCAGTTTATTACTAGGAGTGTGGTCTCAACTTATGAAGAATTTAAGTTATTAAGTTCAATAAACTGTCGGCTAGAGATAATACTTATCATACAAACCCCATAGGTTATTCTTTTGAAACCTACGTGACAAAATATAAAAACATAACTTAGATTGTAATGCGACTTACAAATGTTAGTTGTCTTTATTATTGTTTCCTCACATATCAGTTGAAGACTACAGTAGACATATTTGAGTAATTGTTCAGCTCTGCACTGTTTTACTCTGTGCTACCAGCTGTGTGATTTTTTGAGCACTAGAAATCTGATCTGTCCAAACTGATATCGTACCAGACTTTAAGTCTTAGTATGAAAAAATATAAACTATCTCATTCTTTTTTGATAATAGCATGTTTAAATAATAATTTTTTGATAAAGTTAAATTAAAATATTATTAAAATGAGTTTCACCTGTTTGATTAAAATTACATACCTATAAGGAACCACTCAGCTGAAGGCATGGCTTTAGATGGGTATGTTTATAGCAAGTGATCCTGGCACCTATAGCTAATATAAGCTGAGACTTTTATAGAATTCCCCATCCACTCAGGGCTCATATTCCTGTAAGGTCACATTCTGAGTCAGACTGTCTACCTGTTTCAGGTAATTTATTGAAACATGTAGGGTACTAAAAAGCTAGCTGTCTGAAAATGTTCTGCTGTTTCTCTTAATTAGTTTTAATGGATTGGGTTCCCTGGTTGTTTATAACATAGGAATTCAGGATGGCTCACATATTCTGTCTGGTTCTTTCCTTGACCATCCTGCTCCATCTTCCACTCTGGTTCCTGTCTAGCTTCACATTTCTGCTTTCATCTCTTAATATAATTGAGAATTTCTTGTAATCGCTTTCAAGAAGCTTTGATAGCTCTGTGCTCATAGACAGTGGTCTGATTTCTCCTCTTGAATTGTATCCAAATGTTAACAGCCTTTGTTCCCACCTTGGCTGGGCTCAAACAAAGATCTTGTCTTTTATTTATTAATGTTTTACTTACCAAGTGTCAGACTTCACAGTTACTAGTACAGTACCCAGTAGGTTGTCTCTTAATAATGACATGTTGGTTGACTGGGTCATCAATAAATGAGGTATACATATTCAGTTAATTTGAATAACTTTAATGCAAACCTGTAAGAACAAATACATTCAAAAGCACAAATCTGGAGAGGCTACACAGGTTTTCCAGTTACATTGCCAAAACTCAATATATTACTTTATAGTCACACTTTGTAAGATTCTATTTTTGTGACATTTGAGCTGTGTTTCTAGTGTTCTGAGGAATCCAGTCGTCATGCATAAGCAAAATGTGCCATGTCAGGATATGTGCAGCATACTCACACATGGTCCAAAACTTAAGGGGAGAGTGCTCAGTTGGATGGCAGGACCTGCATTCCAAAGAATGATGACAGACTAGAAATTGGTCCATCTCCAAGCATGAAAAAAATCAAACAAAATTAAATTTAATTGCATTAATTTTAAGGTCACAACCAGCATCCAGAAAATTAACTAGTTGAAATAAAAGATGCAGAAAGCATGGGTAAGTGACATTGTAAGATAAATTGAGTAAGAGCGACTAGTCCTGAACTAAACTATTAATATGAAATTTTAATGGCAGGGAGATGTCACTTAGCCTCTGAATGTATATAATTTTAAACTATGATGTTATCTTAGTCATTTTTATTTGGATCCAGAAAAATGGAAAGCCAGATGTGTTTTACTTTATATAGAGGATTACAAAGAGTACTTATGGTATAATCTCATTTGTGTAAAAAAAAAAAGCTATATACATTTCTATATAAAATTGGCAAGATGCACAAAAAATTGATTGCTGATGGTTTCCTATGGAGAGTAGCATATAATACTTTTATACTAAACACTAGACAATAATACTACTACTAGTATTACTCCTGGTAGTACTACTCCTCCTACCACTAGGTTGGACTACCAAACCATTTGGTTTCTTTCTGGATCTGACACAGGGTGGTTCTGTCTGCCGCATGAGGGAACAGAAAAATTCCAAGTCTTTTGGCTTCTTTTATATCAAGGATCTGTATATGCCCAATGTTAAATTAGGTGTATTTACATCATAACAATTCATATTATAATTTTGTAATGAAATTCACATATGATACCGGTGCTTATGGTGCAGTAAAGTGAATTTTTTTTAGTAACCTTTGCAGCTTAGGGAAAGTTTTTAAAAGTAAATAATAATAAAGATAATTGGCTGGTTCATAGTCTTCTCATCTATTTGGTAATTCATTTCTCTATTTTTAATTCTTTTTAAATTTAATTTTTAATTTTTATGGATACATACTAGGTATATATATCTATTTAAAATCATACTTTAATAGAGGGCCAAGCACTCATCTAGTGGCTACTGAAAATGCAAGTGCTGTGACCAAAAATAGACTTTCAAGACTTTATTTTGTACTGATGAATTTATGAGCAATTCATAGCCAGTTTCTTCCCTCAGTGGTGGTCCAGAAGAACCAAAGTACTAATTTCAGTTGAAAGGTAATATTGCTGCAGTTGTTACATAAATGTACATTCTAAGGTCCTATTAACCTTCTTTTTTAATTCAATAGGTTTTTGGGGAACAGATAGTGTTTGGTTACATGAGTAAATTCTTCAGTGGTGATTTCTGAGATTTTGGTGCACCCATCACCCAAGCAGTATACACTGTACCCAGTGTGTAGTCTTTTATCCTTCACCCCACTCCCACTCTTTCCCCCAAGTCTCCAAAGTCCATTGTATTATTCTTATGTCTTTGTGCCTTTATAGCTTACCTCCTACTTATGAGTGAGAACATATGATGTTTGGTTTTCCACTCCTGAGTTACTTCGCTTAAAATAATGGTCTCCAATTCCATCCAGGTTGCTGTGAATGCCATTATCTTATTCTTTTTTGTGGCTGAGTAGTATTCCATGACACACACACACACACACACACACACACACACACATATACATACCACATTTTCTTTATCTACTTGTGGATTGATGGACATTTGGGCTTGTTCCATATTTTTGCAATTGTGAATTGTGCTGCTATAAACATGCAAGTGCAAGTTTTTTTTTTATATAATGCTTCTTTTTCTCTGGGTAGATACCAAGTAGTGGAATTGCTGGATTAAATAATATATCTACTTTTAGTTCTTTAAGGAATCTCCACACTGTTTTCCATAATGGTTGTACTAGTTTTCATTCCCAACCAAAATGTAACAGTATTCCCTTTTCACCACATCCATGCCAACATCTATTTTTTGAATTTTTGATTATGACCAGTTTTGCAGGAGTAATGTGGTATCACATTGTGGCTTTGATTTGCATTTCCCTGATAATTAGTAATGTTGAGCATTTTCCCACATGCTTTTTGGTCATTTGTATATCTTCTTTTGAGAATTGTCTACTCATGTCCTCAGCCCACTTTTTTTTTGATGGGATTGTTTTTTTTCTTGCTGATTTGTTTGAGTTCTTTGTAGATTCTGAATAGTATTCCTTTGTCAGATGTATAGACTGTGAAGATTTTCTCCTACTCTGTGGGTTGTCTGTTAACTCTGCTGATTGCTTCTTTTGCTGTGCAGAAGCTTTTTAAATTAAGCCCTATCTGTTGATCTTGGTTTTTGTTGCATTTGCATTTGGGTCTTTGGTCATGAAGTCTTTGGGGAATAAAAGCCATCTACGACAAACCCACAGTCAACATTATACTGAACAGGGAAAAGTTGAAAGCATTCCCCCTGGAACTGGAACAAGACAAAGAGGCCCACTTTCACCACTTCTATTCAATATAGTACCAGAAGTCGTAGCGAGAGCAATGTCTAGAAGGGCTTTTCAGATGTTATCTTCTAGACTATTTATAGTTTCAGGTCTTAGATTTAAGTCTTTGATCTATCTTGAGTTGGTTTTTTATAAGGTAAGAGATGAAGATGAGAATCCAGTTTCATTCTTCTACATATGGCTTGCCAATTGTCCCGGCACCATTTGTTGAATAGGGTGTCCTTTCTTCACTTTATGTTTTTGTTTGCCTTGTCGAAGATGAGTTGGCTGTTTATTTGGCTGTATTTCTCAGTTCTCTATTCTGTTCTATTGGTCTATGTGCCTATTTTTATACTAGTACCATGCTGTTTTGGTGACTATGGACTTATAGTTTGAGGTCAGGTAATGTGATGCCTCCAGATTTGTTCTTTTGTTTAGTCTTGGTTTGGCTATGTGGGTCCTTTTTTTTGGTTCTATATGAATTTTAGGACTGCTTTTTTTTCTAGTTCTGTGAAGAATGATGGTCAAAGGTTAGTCTTAGGACCACATGAGTAAACAAGCTATTTAGATATGTTAATTACCCTTGCTATAGCTCACAGAGGATTAGACTGCCTTCAGCCATAACTCTATCCTGCGGGGGCTTTTACAAAAACCTTCCCAGCCTTCCAAAAAGGTTTGTATTTATTTTACAATTTCTTCCACCATCCTGACTGAACCCCTACATCTCCCCCTTTTCTGTTTTCTGCATCAGGCCTTATTGATTGGAGAGCACAGATGTATGCAGCAACAGGTTTGTCAGGCATGGTGGTCATTGCTTATTCCAGCTTTGCATCCTAGAATTTGTAAATAACATAAGACAATCATGAGTATAATTAGCAACATTCTTTTCTAGTCAAAGAATGACGTGTATTGTTATTTGGCACTTCAGTTTGATGTGTGATATTACTAAGGAACCCCACTGGGAGTATGTTAATCCCTTCTAGCCAAGCAGTCACATTGTTAGATGCTGGGAAGGGAGTGTCTGCCTAGATAATAGGGCCAAAAAAAGGCAGATTTAGAAGATGAGATTAATAGAGTGTTGCAGGTATAGGTAGCAGGCACAGTGAGATAATTAAAAAAGATTAATAAAGCATAGTAAGGAACAAATTATCTGGAGTAAATGGTGTCTGTGTCCAGAGCAGGATTCACTCAGTCTTCTGACTTGTCTTCAGCATAATGTCTGGGGCCTGTGTTGTCTGTGGAAGCTGCATCGTCCAGGGCTGTGGGTCCTGTAGGGTCAGTTCCTTCATTTCTGATACTGGGTTGGGTCCTAGCCATACCATGGTATGGTTTGATGTGTTGTGCTGGAATCCAAAGAGGACCTAAGGGGTTGTGAACACAAGCATACTCTCTTCCCCAATTTAACAATTCATTTGGACCACACCATACATTACTGTTACAACTTTCCATAAAACTGCAGGTTTCATGTCTTGAGAGGTTTTAGCAAAGTGCTTTTCTGTAGCCGATTGAAATTTATCATCTAAATTTAGAAGATTGAGGATAAATAAGGCTTATGCCAACAGTGTTGCAAGTCCTTTACCCATACTCCCCCTTTTCCATTTTTTGAGCATATTTTTAAGGATGGAGTGGGCACGTTCCACTATGGCCTGTCCTTGGGAGTTATATGGGATGCCGGTGGAATGTTGGATGTTCCACGTGTGACAAAATTGTTGAAATTGTGAGATGGCATAAGCCGGACCATTATCAGTTTTAATTTTTGTGGGCTGCCCCACAAACGTAAAAGTTAAAAGAAGATGTTTAATGACATATCGAATGGACTCTTCAGGAAGGGCGTGTGTACTAATTAAATGAGAATTGGTATCAACGGATACATGTACATCTTAGTTTTCCAAATTCAGGGATGTGTGTAACATGTTTGCCATAACTGATTCTGTTCTAGTCCTCTAGTGTTAACACCTGTTGAAGAAGGGGACCTGCCTTTGAGCTGGCAATCTGGGCATTGCAGTATAATTTGTTTAGCCAGTTGAGATTGTTTATATAAGTTTCTCCAATTTTGGTGGAAAAATTGATGTGATTGGGTGGCTTGGTCAAACAGTGATGTCATAACCTGAAAGTCTGCTTGATCATTGCCATAAGCCAATCGGCCAGGCAGTGAGCTGCGGGCTCCAATGTGTGTAATAAAAATTGGTTGTGTATGTTGATCTAGCAATTGCTGAAGTTGGAGAAAAAAAGCACACAGGGCGGCCTCCAGAGTTGACTTAATTAGGGCTGTTTCAAGGTTCTGCAATAAATAAACAGATAAGCAAAATCGCTAACTATATTGATGGGCTGAGTGGAAAAATTTTCCAAGGCCAATATCAGGGCCCCAGTTTTAGCTCTGAGTGCCAGTAAATCCAGATTGAATGACTGAATTATGTGGCCTCCACCAGACTGCTGCTTTTCCATGTTTACCATCTGGCTTTTAACTGCTCTTTAACTAACTCATGGGCTCTTTGTAATCTCTCTCCCTTTAGAGGTTATTGTTTTACTTAAATTGGATTAGGAGAGAGTCACATTAGGGGTAAGAGAGAGATAACAGTGGCCTTTATCAGAAAAAGATCTTCTAAATTCTTAAATTTTACTTAAATCTTAGCAGCGAATTATAATCTGGGATGTCGCTTGTATACAAGGAACACATGAAATTTTACTGTGGGCTGACTGTAGAGCTGGAGAGCTGAGCAGGAGGATCCTGGGGTGGCGGTCGCGTTGCAGTCGCACCCACCTAGGCGATGCTTTTTGTTTGTGCCATGTTTTTTTCTTGCTTTTTTTTTTCTTTTTTTTCTGTTTGTGCTACTCCCTCCCCCTGCCACCAGGTGGCTGCTGCCAGCTGGGTGGACCTTCCCACGTGTGCACCTCCAGCCTGTCCCCAGCAGGCCAGCTCTGGCATGCTGGGCCTGGCTCCCTGTTGCTACTGCCACCATGCAGACTGAGTTCCTGGGAGCATTTGCTGGCTCCGGATTTGCGAGCTTTTTCTCTGCCAAGCCTTTCTTCCTACTTACTGCCTGCTTGGTGGCGCAGCTCCGGCCTCTAAGGCCTTTTCTTAACTCTTTATGCACCTGATTGCCTTGTTGATCTTGCATTACCAGGCAGGCTAAGAGCTCCCCTTCTATTGCCGCTTGCTTAAGACAAGGTCTTATAGCTGTAGCGTGTCTCTTGTCTTTTTTCCTATTTTTTGGAGGAGGAGGCTCAGGCAAGACCTCCATTTCCTGTTTGTTATTTTGGCTTGGTGATAGCAGGGCTGAGGGACTCAGGGGTGGTTAAATAGGTAAAGGTTCTTCCTCTTTCTCTTTTTTAGGCTCTTCTGTGTATAATGGGACCAAAACCATCCTTACTAGAGCTCACAGTGTTAAAGATGATACTGGGACCCGTTGCCCTTGTGCGTGATGTTGTTTAAGATTTCTCCCCACCTGTTCCCAGAACTCTACATCTAGCATGCCTTCTTTTGGGAACCATGGATTATGGGTCATGACAGTTTGCATTAGGTCCCTTGAGCCTGCAAAACCAAGGCTCTGCTAACTTTAAGCAGCTGCTTCAACACTTTTATATACTGTTTTTGTTGAGCTGATAACTGTTGTCCCACGATGAAACCTCAGCCTGAACAATCCCCTCCGAACTTGGAAATCTCGAGTGGGCACCAATGACTTACTGATTACTCACTGACTGCGTGGTCCTTTTGACCTTCGTTTTCCGGGGCTCTGTCATGCTCCCTTTGCAGCATTCCTCACACAGGGCACCAGCTGCAGGGGTCTGTCCCACAGACCCTGACCCAACAACAGATGAATAATATACATTGACACAGATATTATGCCTGTCAGTCTAGCGGAGTGTCTGGGCCACTTACAGACTCCGTGGAAGGTGCTATAAAGACGCAGCAGCCACAGCCTCAACTCACTTGCCCTCTGGGCATGTATTCAGCACACATTAAATGACAAAGGTCTCAAGTAAACACCACTAGAAGGTAATTACCGTTGCCAATCCCACCCCCACCCCCGACCCCCCCCCCCCACGCCCCACGCCCCGCTCAGTAGAGAGCAGTCATGTACCCGCAGATGGTCAAAGGTTAGTTTTAGGACCACATGAGTAAACAAGCTATTTAGATAGGCTCTTCTACATTCCCATGTTAATTACCCTTACTATAGCTCAAAGAAGATTAGGCTGCCTTCAGCCGTAACTCTATCCTGAGGCTTTTACAAAAACCTTCCAGCCTTCCAAGAAGGTTTGTATTTATTTTACAATTTCTCCCACCATCCTGACTGAACCCCTACACTGGTTTTTCCTCATCTTAGTGGATTTATCTACCTTTGGTCTTAGATGTTGGTGACCTTCTGATGGGGTTTTTGTGTGGACTTCCTTTTTGTTGATGTTGATGCTATTCCTTTTTGTTTGTTAGTTTTCCTTCTAACAGTCAGGCCTCTCTGCTGCAGGTCTGCTTGAGTTTGCTGGAGGTCTACTCCAGACCCTGTTTACCTGGATATCACCAGTGGAGGCTGCAGAACAGCAAAGATTGCTGCCTGATCCTTCCTCTGTAAGCTTAGTCCCAGAGGGGCACCCGCTGAATGCCAGCTGGAGCTCTCCTGTTTGAGATGTCTGTCAGCCCCTACTGGGAGGTGTCTCCCAGTCAGGATACAGGGAGGTGAGGGACCCACTTGAGGAGGCAGTCTGTCCCTTAGCAGAGCTCGAGCACTTTGCTGTGAGATCCACTGCTCTCTTCAGAGCTGGCAGGCAGGAACGTTTAAGTCTGCTGAAGCTGTGCTCACAGCCACCCCTTCCCCCAGGTGCTCTGTCCCAGGGAGATGGGAGTAAGACCCTGACTGGGGCTGCTGCCTTTCTTTCAGAGATGCCCTGCCCAGAGAGGAGGAATCTAGAGAGGCAGTCCCACTACAGCAGCTTTGCCGGGCTGCAGTGGGCTCCGCCCAGTTTGAACTTCCTGGAGGCTTTGTTTACACTGTGAGGGGAAAACTGCCCACTCAAGCCTCAGTAATGGTAGGCACCCCTCCCCCCACCAAGCTGGAGCATCCCAGGTCAACTTCAGACTGCTGTGCTGGAAGTCAGTATTTCAAGTCAGTGGATCTTAGTTTGCTGGGCTTTGTGGTTGTGGGATCCACAGAGCTAGACCACTTGGCTCCCAGGCTGCAGCCCCATTTCCAGCAGAGTGAACAGTTCTGTCTCATTGGTCTTCTAGGTGCCACTGCGGTATGAAAAAAAATTCCTGCAGCTAGGTGGGTGTCTGCCCAAACGGTCACCCAGTTTTGTGCTTGAAACCCAGGGCCTTGGTGGTGTACGCATCCGAGGGAATCTCCTGGTCTGCTGGTTGCAAACACTGTGGAAAAAAGCATAGTATCTGGGCTGGAATGCACCATCCCTCATGGCACAGTCCCTCAAGGCTTCCCTTGGCTAGGGGAGGGAGTTCCCTGACCCCTTGTGCTTCCTGGGTGCGGCAACACCTCACCATGCTTTGGCTCCCCCTCCATTGGCTGCACCCACTGTCTAACCAGTCCCAATGAGATGAGCTGGATACCTCAGTTGGAAATGCAGAAATCACTTGCCTTCTACATTGATCTTGCTGGGAGCTGGAGACCAGAGCTTTTCCTATTCGACCATCTTGCCAGCCACAATAATTTCATTTTTTATGGCTGCATAATATTCCAGGGTGTATATGTACCACATTTTCTTTATCCAGTCTACCATTGATGGATACCCAGGTTGACTCCATGCCCTTGCTATTGTGAATAGTGTTGTGATGAACATATGAGTACCATGTGTCTTTTTGGTAGAATGATTTATTTTATTTTGTATGTATACCTAGTAAAGGGATTGCTGGGGTGAATGGTAGTTCTGTTTTAAGTCCTTTGAGGAATCTCCAAACTGATTTCCACAGTGGCTGAACTAATTTAAATTCCAGTGAACAGTGTAAAATAATCCTCTTTTTTCTGCAGCCTCACTAGCATCTTTCGTTCTTAGACTTTTTAATAATAGCCATTCTGATTGGCATGAGATGGTATCTTATTTTGGTTTTGATATGCATTTCCCTGATGAGTAGTGATGTTGAGCATTTTCTTCATATGTTTGTTGGTTGCTTGTATGTGTTTTTTGAGAGGTGTCTGTTTATTTCTTTTCCTCACTTTTTAATGGGGTTATTTTTCTTGTGGATTTAAGTTTCTTATAGATTCTGGATATTCGAACTTTGTCAAGTTCATGGTTTGTGAGTATTGTATCCCATTTTGTAGGTTGTCTATTTACTCTGTTGGTAGTTTATTTGGCTGTGCCGAAGCTCTTTGGTTTATTATGGCCCACTTGTCAATTTTTGGTTTTGTTACAATTGCTTTGGAGGGCTTGGTTATGAGCTTTCCCAAGGCCGATATCCAGAATGGTGTTTCCTAGTTTTTTTTTTTCCCTAGGATTCTTATAGTTTGAGGTATTACATTTAAACCTTTAATCAAGTTTGAGTTAATTTTTGTATATGGTAAAAAGTAGGGTTCCAGTTTCATTATTCTGCATATGGCTACCCAGCTATCCCAACATCATTTATTGAGTACACAGTTCTTTCCCCACTGATTATTTTTGTTGACTTTGTCAAAGATCAGAAGGAATAGATGTGAAGCTTTATTTATGTGTTCTCTATTCTGTTCATTGGCCTATGTGACAGTATCATGCTATTTTAGTTACTGTAGCCTTGTAGTATAATTTGAAGTTGGGTAATGTGATGCCCCCTGTTTTTTTTCTTTTTGCTTAGGATCGCTTTGGCTATATGGGCTCTTGTTTGGTGCCATATGAATTTTAGAATAGTTTTTTTCTAATTCTGTGAAAAATGACATCGGTAGTTTGATAGAAATAACATTAAACATACAGACTGCCTTGGGAAATATGACCATTATAATAATATTGATTCTTCCAGTCCATGAGCATGGAATATTTTTCCATTTGTGACATCTATCATTTCATTCAGCAGTATTTTACAGTTCTCCTTGTAGAGATCTTTCACCTCCTTGGTTAAATGTATTCCTAGGTATTTTATTTTAATTTTTTTTGGTTGCTATTATAAATAGAATTGAGTTCTTGATTTGATTCTCAGCTGAAATGTTTTTGGTGTATAGAAATGCTACTGAATTTTGTATATTGATTGTGTATCCTGAAACTTTAGCAAAGTCATTTGTCAAGTCTAGGAGGTTTTTGGAGGAGTCTTTAGGGTTTTCTAGGTATAAGATATCACCAGTGAACAGAGATAATTTGATTTCTTCTTTTCTTATTTGGATGCCTTTTATTTTTTTCTTTTTCCTGATTGCTCTGGCTAGAACTTCCAATACTATGTTGAATAGGAGTGGTGAGAGTGAACATCCTTTTCCTGTTCCAGCTCTCAAGAAGAATGCTTCCAGCTTTTGTAAATTCAGTATGGTGTTGGCTGTGGTTTTGTTGTAGATTGCTCTTATTATTTTGACATATGTTCCTTCAATTCCTAGTTTGTTGAGGGTTTTTATAATGAGATGATGTTAGATTTTATCAAAATCTTTTTCTGCAGTTATTGAGATGATCATATGGTTTTTGTTTTAAATTCTGTTTCTGTGGTGAATCACATTTATTGATTTGCATATGTTGAACCAATCTTACATCCCAAGAATGAAGCCTCCTTGATTGTGATGAATTAACTTTTTGAAGTGTTGCTGAATTTGGTTTCCTTGTATTTTGTTGGCGATGTTTCCATCTATGTTCATTATCCTTATATTGGGCTGTAGTTTTGTTTTCTCATTGTGTCTTTGCCAGGTATTGGTATCAGGGTGATGCTGGCTTAATGGAATGAGTTAGGGAGGAGTCCATCCGCCTTGATTTTTTTTTTTTTTAAGAATAGTTTTGGTAGGATTTGTACAAGCTCTTCCTTGTACATCTGGTAGAATTAAGCTGTGAATATATCTGGTCCAGGGCTTCTTTTTTTGGTTGGTAGATTTTTTATTACTGATTCAATTTTAGAATTTAATATTGGCCTGTTTGGGGTTTCAATCTCTTTCTCAGTCAATCTTGAGAGGTTGTGTGTTTTCAGGAATTTATCTGTTTACTCTAGGTTTTCTCGTTTTTTGCGTATGGAGGTATTCATAGTAATCTCAGGGTCTTTTGTATTCCTGTGAGATTGGTTGTAGTGTCACTTTTGTCATTTCTGATTGTGCTTAATTTGGATCTTCTCTCTTTTTTTCTTTGTTAATCTAGCTAGTGGTCTATTGATCTCCTTTATTCTTTCAAACAACCCACTTTTGGTTTTGTTGATGTTTTTGAATGGAATTTTGCATCTTAATTTTATTCAGCTCTGCTCTGATTTTAGTTATTTCCTTTCTTCTGCTAGTTTTAGAGTTTGTTCTCATTTTTCTAGCTCTTCTAGGTGTGATGTTAGATCATTAATTTTGAGATCTTTCCATGAGGTAGGCTTTGGGATATAAACTTTCCTCTTTCTTTCTCTGAGTTTGTATTATATTAAAATAAAAAAAACTTTCCTCTTAACACTGCTTTTACTGCATACTTTTGGTATGTTATGCCTCTGCTTTCATTTATT